>NC_000012.12:38975279-39126794 GCF_000001405.40 Homo sapiens
GTTATAAATAACTGTTATAGATAATTTTTCACTACTATTTTGCTTATTATTTTGAAAACTTTTCAACCTAATGAAATAAAATGGTCGGCTCCTGGGAAAGGGGTGCAAATATCCATAAAATAATTTTCTGTTACAGATGACAAAGGAAATAAATGAATGAAAGTAAACTGACGTAAAGAAATTTAATTACAGTTGATGTCATCAGAATTAACTTATGATGCCATGAAGACAATCAAATGTTATCAAGGGTCAAGGGAAACTTTTACACATTTATATGTAATAATGTGTATATGGTATGGTATGTCATGTATATAACACATGTATTCACACACACACACACACACACACACACATTCACACATTGGACTAAATTATTTACAGACCCTAAGATGATAAGCCTATGGACCCCTCCAATTCAATAGCTTATTTCATTAGAAAGTTACTTTTGCATCCTACAGAACTTTATCAAGTTTTTTCTTGTTTTTTTTTTTGTTTGTTTAACTCAAGATCAGCCACACACATACATGAAACAAAAGTTTGTGAAAATAATTTCCCAAAAGTATTTTTGTTTTCTTGACCTCAACAACCAGCTTTAGTCTGTCAGATAGCTTAGAAAAGAGAACGAACACAGAGAGCAGGGAGGGCAGACCAAGTTTCCTATCACTCCATTACCAACTGCAAGATCATTCTAAGACATCATTTCTTCCTCTGTAAAATCTGCATGATAATGTCAGTTATATCTATCTTCCAGGAGCATGGTGAGAATCAAATGGAGTCATGTTGCTAAAAATTCTTTGTAAATTATAAAACTTCAAGTAAAGAATTACTGTTAAGACTAAGATATCAAACTTACAAAAAAAAATCCCAATTAGAGAGAAATGCATTTAGATAGAGAAGGGCACATTTTGAATAGATTATTAGTCAAACAACCTTGTTATCAATTATTTTTTAATTAAAAAAAGAAAATCTAGTAGTTTGAGCTCTATGTCACTTCTCTGTATTTATAAAGACAATTATGTTGTATTGTGTGACAAAATATTAGACACAGGAGCTTCAGAGACTCTGAAATCTCTAGATCTCTCCTCATAATGTAGGGAAGTGGTGTCTATTCAGCATACTATTCATTGAGTTCTTCAGGAGTGGGAACCATGTCTTGTATCCATAAGCATGCATCTATAGCATAACTTTCAAACTCTCAGTAGGAGCTCAGTAAATATGCTTAATTTCCAGAGAGAATGAAGTAGAAGGAAAGAGGCATGAGCTGTCAGGAGTTTCAAGATCAAGACTCAGTTTTGTCAGTTGTTAAGAGTATATGACCTTGATAAGTCACTACACCTCCCTGGGTGCTCAGTTAAATGAATATCTGTTACATGAAGGAATTTAAATACAGTCCCTCCAAACCTTCCACTTCAATTTTCTATAAACTTAATTCTCATTTATTTTAGCTCCCCATTTATCCTTTCTTAATGTTACACTTGCCAGAGAATGCACCAGCCTTGCATGATATTGCCTGTGACATTTAATCCAACAAAGTTTCTAATCGTGATATGGGAACAGTTTTATCTGGAAATATAACTGTATGCTTATTGTCTTCCTTGTGCTTCAGAAATATGCAATCTGTTATTTAAGAAATGTGATTTACTGTAGCTTTTTCAAAGAGGCAGCATTCAGGAAAAATTAAATTATTAGCACTTACGACTTAATTAAGGAAATTTTGCCATGTAAGTCAATAGTGTTTAAACTTTACCCTATTATTAGACTTATATGGTAGTCTGTTGCTTGGAATGATTTCTCCATTTACAGAAATACTGTTTGGCTTTGAAATCAGACCAAGGATCTGAATTGTGCCATATGCCAGACTGTTGATTCCAAGGTAGCCATTTTTAATCACAGTGGTTTTCACCATTCTCTGTTATTAGGGGAGAGAAACATTTTTAAACAAATGATGACATATACAGAAATGTACAATGAAACATAATTTGGAGAACTGCCAATACTTTGAAACACTTATTTTTAAGATCTCTTGGTACATATTTTTCTTCAGAAAAATGAACTATTATGTCACAAATACTGAATACTTAAACTTACATCACTGAATGTGTATTGCACATAAAGTACTCCCTTCTTTCAATAGAATCTACAAAACGAACATTAACTTTAGAAAATAAAGGTCAATGTTATATTTATTTTTTTAAATTTAGATTTTGATCAACTAAGCTCCAAGTCCATAAGTTGTCCTAGGTTGTTTACTTAGAATCCTCTGGGGGAAATTTTTTTTTAATTGATTAATCACTGGCCTCCAACTTACATTTTTCATGATGTTCTTTGGAAAATAAAAAATAAAGTTAATCTGATGAAGTAGACCTCATCATCTTACCATACTTTCCACTTTTTCCTCATTTTCTTCTTTCATTTTATATGGAAAAATAAGAGACAAGGAGCTTTGTTTTAGACATGTTTTCAACACTTTCATTTAGCAAGGAGGGATATGGTATAATGACATTGTGGACAACCTCCTCCTGAAGCTCTCTATGTTGTCCATATATGCAAACACACAATCACAGACTGACATCGGCATCTCTCTCTCCCACTGCCAATATTCTTCTGATTTCAATTCTTGCCTCTAAAATTCAGAATCTCTTTCAAGTGTTAGATATTTAATCAGATTATCCTGAGATAATTCGCTGAGAGAAAAAGAAAAGAAAATAAACTAAAAAGGGACATAAAAGAGTTCTGGTTATCATGAAAATCCAGGCCCTGGGGAGGCTTCTGTACCTTCCCTTAATTTCTATCCAGAAGCAACGAGCCATATTATCTATATGTAAGATTAGGAGAGTATCTTCGTATTTGGCTTCACATTCTCTTGTTCAATCTTTTCATCTTTTTTATTAAAATGATTCTTCTTCTTGCCTGTCTTTCTCACTGATGATAGATGTGAGGTCAATGTGGAGAAAGAAGAAATGCTTTGAGCAGTAACCTCAGAAGCATTATTGTCTGTGATGTAGTCCCTGAAAACTCATTTCTGATTTGTAAAATGGGGCCTCTTTGAATATATTTATCAATCTATATAGTAAGTATGTATCATTCTTATCATGGGAGTCATTTCTGTTGTTCTGAGGAAATCCTTTTCTTGAGACGGGGCCTCACTCTGTCACCCAAGCTGGAGTGTAGCAGTGCAATCATAGCTTACTACAGCCTCAACCTCCTGGGTTCAAGCAATCTTCCTGCCTCAGCCTCCTGAGTAGCTGGGACTACAGGCATGTGCTGCGACACATGGCTAAATTTTTAAAAACAGTTTGTAGAGATAAGATCTCACTATGTTGCCCAGGCTGGTCCTGAACTCCTGGGCCCAAGTGATCCTACTGTCTTGGTCTCCTAAAGCATTGGGATTACAGGTATGAGCCGCCATGCCGGGCCTAAAAGTCTTCCCTAATAATTTACTGATCCATGACATTAGATCAAAGGAAAACATGGATAAATAAAAGAGAAATAAATAAACAAAAACACTGATGTTGTGCCTTTGCTAGCTATATCTTGACCTGTTTTCTTGGGTCAAGCCGTATCTTTTTCCTCTACTACACATCATTCAACGAAGGGTTCAGGTCTGTTCACCACAGAACCTCAGTAGTCCCTTCTTTCTCTGACTTAACAGCTATACAACTTTCCATTCAAATCCCTACTCCTTAAGACTGGTGTCCTCATTCCTCCCAAAATGCCAATGTATTCATGAGAAGAAATTTTATATCAGCACTCTAGTAAAACAGAGAAATATGTTCTCCTTTCAGGTAACCATAGTGTATTTTGTTATCACCTTCCTGGAGATAATGTCTCACCTGTGTTGCTTAATCCAGAGGAGTGTCAGGGATAAGGAAAATTTCATGTTCCTGTACAGTAATGTTGAAAAAAGCAGAATTTTGTTAATGATGTTTATTACATCATATTTATTTTGTGAGCCTAGGTCTCCAATAATGTTAATAAAGTCATATAGAAATTCAGAACATTTCAACTATTGTGCTGTTAGTCTGCTTACCAATAGAATCACCATCATCCCAGAAAATGGAGCCAGATGCTTCTTCCTGTTTGTCTAGAGCAATTCTGAGGCCAAAAGGATTCAGACAGCTATAGAGGAAGAGTGAAAATTGATATTAATTTTCTTTCATAAGTGTGTATTTTCAGGGTTAGAAAAGTCTATCTCCAGTCATCTTATAGAACTATGCAGAAAATTGTTGAGTTCTTTCTGAAACATCTTTACCAAATCTTCACTTATTATATTTACCAAATGTTCAAGTTTATCTTTGAATACCTCCAATGATAAGAAACTTAAAATATCCCTAAGCAACCTATTCTACCTCTGAATAGCTCAATCTGAAAAAAAAAAAAAAAAGTTATAGCAATAGTACAGACCTCTCATCAAATGCAACTATCAAAGAGCCTTCCACTGGAAAAAGAGGAAATGTTTTTATTTATAACAAAATGATATAATTATTCTACCATGCTGATTGAAGGCATATCCCTCCCTTTCTTTGGCTCATCTACAACAAAAAGAAAGTTGTAACAAAGTTGTCACAAAGTTGTTGGATTAGAGATCCTGGGAGCTGATTTTAAGGTATGAGCAATGGAATTCCAGGGAAAATGAGGCTTGAATAATAACTTAGTGAGTCTGCACAGCTGGGAGTCTTATTAACATCTCAGGAGCAAAAATGCCAGAATCCATAAGCCCCATTTTTGTTTTTCCACAATGAAGACAAGACTCAAGGATTTGATTTTAACCACTTGGCAACAGAAAGGTGCATAACAAGAAAAGAACTACACAATGTAAGCAATAAAACCAACTTACTTTTGGAGAACTTGAGTTACAGTGAAAATTCCTTAAGAAAAATGTTTTGGCCAGGCGCGGTGGCTCACGCCTGTAATCCAGCATTTTGGGAGACCAAGGCGGGTGGATCACAGGTCAGGAAATCGAGACCATCCTGGTTAACACGGTGAAACCCCCTCTGTACTAAAAAATACAAAAAAATTATCCAGGCATGGTGGCAGGCACCTGTAGTCCCAGCTACTCGGGAGGCTGAGGCAGGAGAATGGTGTGAACCCGGGAGGCGGAGCTTACAGTGAGCCGAGATCGCGCCACTGCACTCCAGCCTGGGTGACAGAGGAGACTCCATCTCGGAAAAAAAAAAAAAAAAAAAAGAAAAATGTTTTGGTTTCATATAAAATAACTTGTGTCATTATATGCTTCCTATTGAAATGAAAGTTAGACATGATACCTGCTCTTCTTGGCAAAGAATAATATAATAACTTGAAGTTCAAATGGATTTATTATGCAAGTTAGTCTTTAAAAGCTATGGATCTACTTCTAGTACCTGGTTCTGGGCTCCTCCGAGCACTTTTTTTTTAAAGACAGGGTCTCGCTCTGTCACCCAGGCTGGAGTGCAGTGGCGCGATCATAGAATCCCAAGCTCAAGCGATCCTCCCACATCAGCCTCCCAAGTACCCCAAGTAGCTGGGACTACAGGAGAGCACCACCATGCCCAGCTAATTTTTTGTATTTTTTGTAGGGATGGGGTTTTGCCATGTTGCCCAGGCTGGACAGTGTGCACTCAATATTTTTAAATGTCTGGTCAAAACTCTCTAACGATGTATAATTTTAACTGATTTTTATTTTTAATTAATGTTGATTAAAAGTTCTGAGTTGCTATTATGTATCGTTGATGTAAAATAGAAATATGAGCAAATTATTGTTTTTTAAAAAAATCTGTTTATTTGCTTGACAAAGTCTTTGATTATGTGATATTTATGGAACAAAAATGATTAATCAAATATAACCTAGGTGGGAAAAAAAGCTCTGGGACCTGATCTAGTTTATACATAAAATCTTGGAGAGACTTTGTGTATCTGAAGTCACTAGCAACTTAAAAATGATGATAGGCATATATTTAGAGAAGGATAGCTTAGAACTGAATCAAATGCTCAAGCAGAAAATTATCTACTGACTTCTCTCACTCCTTTTTTTCTTCTCTTCCTCTTTGCTTTCTCTCTCTCACATAAACACACATGTGCACAGACACAGGTATAAATTCACAAATAGACAATTAATTGTACTACTGATTGTGCCAATCTCTTGTTGCTGGCCCCCTACTCACAACACCCCCTCCTTGGACACTCTGCAAATAGGAGGGTTGATCATACTCCCTGTGAAGTCTCCAGACAGGATGTGCCTATTACCTGAGCGTTGTTGTTCTGACTGGAAACTGTTTAGGTAGAATGTATCCTCCACGAACGAAAAGAGGAATTGGTGGCTCACACCTGTAATCCCAGTACTTTGGGAGGCCAAGGCGGGTGGATCACAAGGTCAGGAGTTCAAGACCAGCCTGGCCAACATGGTGAAACCCCGTCTCTACTAAAAATTAGCCAGGCATGTTGGTGGGTGCCTGTAATCCCAGCTACTCGGGAGGCTGAGGCAGGAGAATCGCTTGAACCTGAGAGGCGGAGGTTGCAGTGAGTGGAGACTGCCACTGCCCTCCAGGCTGGAACTTTCATTCCTTTTTTTTTTTTTCTCAAAAAAAAAAAAAAAAAAGAAAGAAAGAAAAGGGGAATTACATTTAGAGGAGCAGGAACTTCAACAAACTTCTTCTGCCAAGAAGGTAGTATTTGACTGCCCCAGCATAGAACAAGCCAGAGTTAACTGTTCCAATTATATAACTGGTAAGAAGTCATACATTTCAAGAGACATGGGAAATTGAAATCCAAACTTCTACTTAAATTCCACAAATCATCCATAGAACTCACTAACAGGAAGGGTGGTTTGAAATGTCTAATCATTGCTTAAAAAAAAAAAAACATACAAACTCCAATATGTAAAACACATTACAGTAGCATTTATTAAAATAGTATATACTTTTTCAAAAATTTAACTTTATAACCACCCCTACATACTAAAAAGTGTTAAAATTTAATATAATAATATTTATAATTAGTCATAATTAATTGGTAATTTAAAAATAGGTCATGGCTGGGTGCAGTGGCTCACACCTGTAATCCCAGCACTTTGGGAGGCCGAGGGGGGTGGATCACCTGTGGTCAGGAGTTTGAGACCAGCCTGGCCAACATGGTAAAACCCCATTTCCACTAAAAATACAAAAATTAGCCAGGCATGGTGGCTCACGCCTGTAGACCCAATGACTCTGGAGGTTGAGACACGAGAATCACTTGAACCCAGGAGGCGGAGGTTGCAGTGAGCCGAAATCAAGGCACTGCACTCCAGCATGGGTAACAGAATGAGACTTGGTCTCTCAAAAGAAAAAAAAAAAAAAAGGTCACATATCTTTGCTTCCAATTTGAGATTAGTCCTATATTTATAGTCAAAACTCATTCCCATAAAAATTTGTTGAAAAATTTCTGGGGAAGATTAGTCAATGTTCATCAAACCACACTAAAAGAATGGGAGAAATGAACTCATTAGTTCAAATGAAAGTTCTATGTTAGAGATGACACATTACTTGTCTCTCACAGTCCATACCTTCCTTGATCATCACAACTGTAACTCCCACTGCCTAAGAGACTAGGTATATCTTGGATGAAAAGATGAGTTGGATGGATAATATTACATTTTGGGAGTAATTTGAACTACAAAATATGGAGAGAGCCTGCCACTTATCACAGAAGCACAAAAGCTGTATAAATATAAAAGTCTCCTGTTAGTGTAACTGATAGAGGGTCCCGACTGTGAGTTGTCCAAGTTCTTGGTGTTTTGAACAAAAAATTGGACAAAACACTCAGCAAAGCACGGAAAGAATGAAGCAACAAAAGAACGAAAGCAGGGATTTATTGAAAACGAAAGTACACTCCACAGTGTGGGAGCGGACCCGAGCAGTGGCTCAAGGGCCCGGATACAGAATCTTCTTGGGTTCAAATGCTCCATAGAAGTTCTGTTACCCTAGAAGTTTCCTATTGGCCACCTTCCTACTTCTGTTACCCTAGAAGTTTCCTATTGGCCACTTCATGCTCACCTCATGTAAATGAAGTAGTAGTCTGCAATCAGTCTGGTTGCAGAAAGCAGACAATCAGAGGCTGAAGTGAAGTTACAAAAGTCACACTCCTGTGCAAATATCTGATTAGTTGCAAAAAGCAACCAATCAGAGGCTAGGGGGAAGTTACAAAGTTATACTTCTATGCAAACGAAGACTGGCCCACAGTCAGTCTGACTGGTTGTGGACAGCAACCATTCAGAGGCTGGAGTGAAGTTACAAAGTTGCAAACGAAGACTGGACCTGCAATCAGTCTGATTTGTCGCTGACAGCCAATTTTTCATGTGCTGCAGAAAAGGTCAAAGGGAGTAGTAGCCTCTGGTCCTTTTGTTACTTAGGCATGGAAAGTTAGGGTTTTCCTTTCATAGTTCTAGGAAGTCAGCATGAACAGCTTTAGGTTCCCTGCCTCCAGACCGTATTCACCTGCCTCACTAAGGCTGAAGAGTTCATGACAAGCTGAGGCCCCTTTGCAAACCAGTTATTAGTAAAACAAAACAGTTCAATGGAATGCTGAGCCCTGGGAATGGCACAACACCAGGCTGAAATTTCACCAACTCTTGCAATTGACCCTGGAATTCTCCATAAAATCCAGCACTGTCATAGTTGCTGTTCTTGAATTTCCATGAGATTTCTTTGGTCAGTTCACCTATATCCCTACTATAAACCTCATACTCAAGCTAGTTGGAATGGATTTCTGTTTTTTTGCAAGATAAAGTACCTGTCTTATGGATTATATGTAATCTCTATTACACTCTACTATAAAGAAACCTCACTGCAGGGATTCATTTGTTCTTAATAATTTATTTATTTATTTTAGAATTGGGATCTCACTCTGGACTCCAGTCCAGGCCAGAGTTTGGTGGCATGATAATAGCTCACTAGCAGCCTCAAACACTCAAGCCTCCTGAGTAGCTAGGACTAAAGGTGCATGCCACCATGCCTGTCTAATGTTTGGGTTTTTGTGTTGTTCAGTTTGGTTTGGTTTGGTTTTTTAAATTGGCTCTAGACTCAGTATCTCACTATGTTGCTTAGGCTGGTCATGAACTCCTGGCATCAAGCAATCCTCCTCCCTTGACCTCAGAGTCATTGGGATTACAGGTATGAGCCACTGTGCCTGGCCCCATTTGCTCTTAAGAATTTAAATGTTTGCATGAAATAAGCAAGTCCAGTCTGCTTCTAAAAAAAAAAATTACCGCATCTTTTATCTTAAATATTTGCTGATCTATATATGGCCAATTCCACTATTTTGAGAAGAGTAAGCAATTCTAAACATAAGGCTTCACAAAGAGCCAAGTCATCAGAATTACACAGCCCAAGGCTCTAGAGGTCATATAAAAACAATAAAAAATCTCCAGTTTAATGAATTTATTTTTTTCTATAAAATATCTATAAAGCATATACTGAGTCAAACCAAGTTGCTTCAGGAAAATACACATACACAGATCTTTCCCCTTTGGAAAAAAGGAAATATTTGACTTTTAAAATTATTCTGTTGAATTAAAATATTCCAGTTAAAATGAATTAGGCTGTACACATATTTAATCTTATATTAGTTGGCATTCAAACCAAGTCCTAGTGAATTCATACAAGATTATGCAGTAGGGCTGGAGAATCTACATGAAATATTTATGTTCTATCAGAAAATATATTTCATGTCTATATTACGGAATTTTAACATATAATATTCATAATGTTTTCTAAAAAACTAAATTTGCTATATTTCAAAAGATTAATGTCTCAAAATGTAGATATAGATTATTACATACCATGCAATTATTTTTTGGCATTTTAATTCAATGACAATTATCATACAGTTATGGAAAAATATAAAATATGAAATGATTATTGATATAGTTTGAATGTTTGTCCCCTCCAAATCTCATGCTGAAATGTGATCCCCAGTATTGGAGGTGGGGTTTAATAGGAGATGTTTGGGTTGTGGGGGCAGATCCCTCAGGAATGGAGAGGCCACTAGAATCTGTCCATGCTGATGGGTGAGGGTCTTCTCCTACAGAAGGCCAGTCACATGATGAATAAGAAAGATGACTGTTTTGTCTGATGTGCAGACACCAACACAGAAAGTCAAAAAAGAAAAAAGAAACAGAGAAACATGTTTTAAAGAACAAGACAAATTTCTGGAAATCAACTCTAATAAAACAGTTATGAAATCTACCTGACAGAGATTTAAAATAATCCTTATAAAGAGGCTTACCAAGATCAGGAGAACAATGCATGAAGAAAGTGAGAATTTCAACAAAGAAATAAAAAATATAAAAAGTACCAAATAGAAATAATAAAGCTGGAGAACATTAGAACTAAATGAAATATTAACTAAAGGGATTCAATAGGAGACTACATTAAGCAGAAGAAAGAATTCGTAAATACGAAGACAGGTCATTGGAAAGTATTCAGTCAGAGAAGCAAAGAGAACAAAGAATGAAAAAGGGTAAAGAAAGCTTAAGAGACTTATGGAATACCATCGAGCAACCAATATATGTGTAATGTGAGTCTTAGAAGAAGTATGAGAGAGAAAGGATCAGAAAGCATGATCAAAAAAATAATTGCTGAAACTTCTTATCTAGAAAAGGAAGTGGAAATACAGATCCAGAAAGCCTAAAGAATCCAAAAGAAGATGAACCTAAAGTAACCCACGTCAAGACACTTTATAACGAAATTATCAAAAGTCAAGGGCAGAATGTTGAAAACAGCAAGAGAAAAGCAACTTGCCACATATAAGTGAATACCTGTAAAACTATCAGCAGATTTTTCAGCAGAAATATAGGCCAAAAAAGAGTGGAATGAATTATTTAAACTATTGAAAGAAAAAAAGTTTAAAAAAGCTGCCAACCAAGAATACTATATTCAGCAAAAGCATTCTTCAAAAAAATAAAGAGACATAGACTCTTCCATATAAACAAAAGATGAAGAAATTCACTACCACTACATCTGCCTTAGAAGAAATGCTAAAGAGATGTCTTCTAGTTGAAGTAAAAAGGCATTGAAAAGCAACACAGCATAATAAATTATAAAACTTGTCAGTAAAGGTAAATATATAGACAAATATAGAAAACTATTATTGTAATGGTGTTGAAGAAATTACTTGTTAGTATAAGAGTCAAAAGACAAAAGTATTAAAAGTAACTACAACTACAAAGTATGTTTATGCATACACAATATAAATGGATGTAAACTGTATTATCAATAACATGAAGTGTGGATGGGAATTAATAACCACAGGCTTTTTCTATGTGAATGAAGTTAAGTTGTTAGCTTAAAATAGGCTATTATATTTTATGTAAGGCCTATGATAATCAAAAGTAAAATACCTATAAAAGTAACAAAAAAAGGAGAGGTAGGGAGAGAAAAAATAATTCTTAAAAATAACTACAAAAAATTATAGAAATTATTGAATTTCTATAAAATTCTAGAAACACAAAGAAAGATCACAAGAAAAAAAAGGGACCAAATGAATGTAAGACAAAAAAAATTAAAATGTCAATAGTAAATTTTTCCCTATCAATAATTACTATAAATATAAATGAATTAAACTCTTCAATCAGAAGACAGAGAGTGGCTGAATGAATAAACAAGATCCAACTATATGCTATCTACAAGAAACTTACTTTAGATTTAAGGAAATCAATCGAAGATTGAAAATGAAGGGATGGAAAAAGATATTTCAAACAAATGGCAACAAAAAGAGTGCAGAAGTAGCTATACTTATATCAGATAAAATAGACTTTGAAGCCAAAAACACAATAGGAGACCCCAATACCCCTGCTTTTTATAATACATAGAACAATTAGACAGAAAATCAACAAAGAAAACATTTAACAACATTATAGACAACATGAACCTAACAGACATTTACAGAGCATTCCACCCAACAGCTGGAGAATACCCATTATTCTCAAGCATACATAGAGCATTCTCTAGGATAGATTACATGTTAGCTTACAAAACAAATATTAACAAATTTAAGAAGATTGAAATTATACCATATCTTAAAATATCTTCTAATTTGCCCTTTGATTTCTTATTTGACCCACTGATTGTTGAAAAATGTGTTGTTTAATTTTCACATATTTACAATTTTCCAATTTTCCTTCTGCTATTAATTTCTAGATTCATTCCATTATAATACAAGAAGATACTTGGTGCAATTTCAATCTTCTTAAATTTGTTAATACTTGTTTTGTAACCTAACATGATCAATATGCTCCTTTGTGATTAAAGAATGGGTAAGACAACTATCTGGAGGAGAAGGAAAAAGCAATATTGAATCAGGAATTTTGGTTTTGATTAGGAAAGGTTATATGAAGCTACTGATGTTCTTCATGTAGACTTCCTTGCTGTTAAATTGGCAAAAGAGGAAGATGGCCGAATATGAACACCTCAGGTCTACAGCTCCCAGCGTGAGTGATGCAGAAGACAGGTGATTTCTGCATTTCCATCTGAGGTACTGGTTTCATCTCACTAGGGAGTGCCAGACAGTGGGTGCAGGACAGTGGGTGCAGCGCACCGTGTGCGAGCCGAAGCAGGGTGAGGCATTGCCTCACTCGGGAAGTGCAAGGAGTCAGGGAGTTCCCTTTCCTAGTCAAAGAAAGGGGTGACAGATGGCACCTGGAAAATCGGGTCACTCCCACCCTAATACTGCGCTTTTCCAATAGGCTTAAAAAATGGCACACCAGATTATATCCCGCACCTGGCTTGGAGGGTCCTACACCCACGGAGTCTCACTGATTGCTAGCACAGCAGTCTGAGATAAAACTGTAAGGTGGCAGTGAGGCTGGGGGAGGGGCGCCTGCTATTGCCCAGGCTTCATTAGGCAAACAAAGCATCCAGGAAGCTCGAACTGGGTGGAGCTCACCACAGCTCAAGGAGGCCTGCCTGCCTCTGTAGGCTCCACCTCTGGGGACAGGGCACAGACAAACAAAAAGACAGCAGTAACCTCTTCAGACTTAAATGTCCCTGTCTGACGACTTTGAAGACAGCAGTGGTTCTCCCAGCATGCAGCTGGAGATCTGAGAACGGGCAGACTGCCGCCTCAAATGGGTCCCTGACCCCCGAGCAGCCTAACTGGGAGGCACCCCCCAGTAGAGACAGACTGACACCTCACACAGCTGGGTACTCCTCTGAGACAAAACTTCCAGAGGAACAATCAGGCAGCAGCATTTGCGGATCACCAATATCCGCTGTTCTACAGCCACCGCTCTTCTGCAGCCACCGCTGCTGAAACCCAGACAAACAGCATCTGAAGTGGACCTCCAGCAAACTCCAACCGACCTGCAGCTGAGGGTCCTGTCTGTTAGAAGGAAAACTAACAAACAGAAAGGACACCCACACCAAAAACCCATCTGTACATCACCATCATCAAAGACCAAAAGTAGATAAAACCACAAAGATGGGGAAAAAACAGAGCAGAAAAACTGGAAACTCTAAAAAGCAGTGTGCCTCTCCTCCTCCAAAGGAATGCAGCTCCTCACCAGCAATGGAACAAAGCTGGATGGAGAATGACTTTGACAAGTTGAGAGAAGAAGGCTTCAGATGATCAAACTACTCCGAGCTACAGGAGGAAATTAAAATGAATGGCAAAGAAGTTAAAAACTTTGAAAAAAAATTAGACGAATGGATACCTAGAATAACCAATGCAGAGACGTCCTTAAAGGACCTGATGGAGCTGAAAGCCAAGGCTCAAGAACTACATGAAGAATACAGCAGCCCCAGGAGCCGATGCGATCAACTGGAAGAAAGGGTATCAGTGATGGAAGATGAAATGAATGCAATGAAGCGGGAAGGGAAGTTTAGAGAAAAAAGAATAAAAAGAAATGAACAAAGCCTCCAAGAAATATGGGACTATGTGAAAAGACCAAATCTATGTCTGATTGGTGTACCTGAAAGTGACAGGGAGAATGGAACCAAGTTGGAAAACACTATGCAGGATATTATCCAGGAGAACGTCCCCAATCTAGCAAGGCAGGCCAACATTCAGATTCAGGAAATACAGAGAACACCACAAAGATACTCCTCGAGAAGAGCAACTCCAAGACACATAATTGTCAGATTCACCAAAGTTGAAATGAAGGAAAAAATGTTAAGGGCAGCCAGAGAGAAAGGTCAGGTTACCCACAAAGGGAAGCCCATCAGACTAACAGCGGATCTCTCAGCAGAAACTCTACAAGCCAGAAGAGAGTGGGGGCCAATATTCAACATTCTTAAAGAAAAGAATTTTCAACCCAGAATTTCATATCCAGCCAAACTAAGCTTCATAAGTGAAGGAGAAATAAAATCCTTTACAGACAAGCAAATGCTGAGAGATTTTGTCACCACCAGGCCTGCCCTAAAGGAGCTCCTGAAGGAAGCACTAAACATGGAAAGGAACAACCAGTACCAGCCACTGCAAAAACATGCCAAAATGTAAAGACCATCGATGCTAGGAAGAAACTGCATCAACTAATGAGCAAAATAACCAGCTAACATCATAATGACAGGACCAAATTCACACATAACAATCCTAACTTTAAATGTAAATGGGCTAAATGCTCCAGTTAAAAGACACAGACTGGCAAATTGGATAAAGAGTCAAGACCCATCAGTGTTTTGTATTCAGGAATCCCATCTAACGTTCAGAGACACACATAGGCTCAAAATAAAGGGATGGAGGAAGATCTACCAAGCAAATGGAAAACAAAAAAAGGCAGGGGTTGCAATCCTAGTCTCTGATAAAACAGACTTTCAACCAACAAAGATCAAAAGAGACAAAGAAGGCCATTACATAATGGTAAATGGATCAATTCAACAAGAAGAGCTAACTATCCTAAATACATATGCACCCAATACAGGAGCACCCAGATTCATAAAGCAAGTCCTTAGTGACCTACAAAGAGACTTAGACTCCCACACAATAATAATGGGAGACTTTAACACCCCACTGTCAACATTAGACAGATCAACAAGACAGAAAGTTAAAAAGGATACCCAGGAATTGAACTCAGCTCTGCACCAAGCGGACCTAATAGACATCTGCAGAACTCTCCACCCCAAATCAACAGAATATACATTTTTTTCAGCATCACACCACACCTATTCCAAAATTGACCACATAGTTGGAAGTAAAGCTCTCCTCAGCAAATGTAAAAGAACAGAAATTATAACAAACTGTCTCTCAGACCACAGTGCAATCAAACTAGAACTCAGGATTAAGAAACTCACTCAAAACCACTCAACTACATGGAAACTGAACAACCTGCTCCTGAATGACTACTGGGTACATAATGAAATGAAGGCAGAAATAAAGATGTTCTTTGAAACCAACGAGAACAAAGACACAACATACCAGAATCTCTGGGACACATTCAAAGCAGTGTGTAGAGGGCAATTTATAGCACTAAATGCCCACAAGAGAAAGCAGGAAAGATCCAAAATTGACACCCTAACATCACAATTAAAAGAACTAGAAAAGCAAGAGCAAACACATTCAAAAGCTAGCAGAAGGCAAGAAATAACTAAAATCAGAGCAGAACTGAAGGAAATTGAGACACAAAAAACCCTTCAAAAAATTAATGAATCCAGGAGCTGGTTTTTTGAAAATATCAACAAAATTGATAGACCACTAGCAAGACTAATAAAGAAGAAAAGAGAGAAGAATCAAATAGACGCAATAAAAAATGATAAAGGGGATATCACCACCGATCCCACAGAAATACAAACTACCATCAGAGAATACTACAAACACCTCTACACAAATAAACTAGAAAATCTAGAAGAAATGGATAAATTCCTCGACACATACACCCTCCCAAGACTAAACCAGGAAGAAGTTGAATCCCTGAATAGACCAATAACAGGCTCTGAAATTGTGGCAATAATCAATAGCTTACCAGCCAAAAAAAGTCCAGGACCAGATGGATTCACAGCCGAATGCTACCAGAGGTGCAAGGAGGAGCTGGTACCATTCCTTCTGAAACTATTCCAATCAATAGAAAAAGAGGGAATCCTTCTTAACTCATTTTATGAGGCCAGCATCATCCTGATACCAAAGCCGGGCAGAGACACAACCAAAAAAGAGAATTTTAGACCAATATCCTTGATGAACATTGATGCAAAAATCCTCAATAAAATACTGGCAAACCAAATCCAGCAGCACATCAAAAAGCTTATCCACCATGATCAAGTGGGCTTCATCCCTGGGATGTAAGGCTGGTTCAATATATGCAAATCAATAAATGTAATCCGGCATATAAACAGAACCAAAGACAAAAACCACATGATTATCTCAATAGATGCAGAAAAGGCCTTTGACAAAATCCAACAGCCCTTCATGCTAAAAACTCTCAATAAATTAGGTATTGATGGGACATATCTCAAAATAATAAGAGCTATCTATGACAAACCCACAGCCAATATCATACTGAATGGGCAAAAACTGGAAGCATTCCCTTTGAAAACTGGCACAAGACAGGGATGCCCTCTCTCACCACTCCTATTCAACATAGTGTTGGAAGTTCTGGCCAGGGCAATTAGGCAGGAGAAGGAAATAAAGGGCATTCAATTAGAAAAAGAGGAAGTCAAATTGTCCCTGTTTGCAGATGACATGATTGTATATCTAGAAAACCCCATTGTCTCAGCCCCAAATCTCCTTAAGCTGATAAGCAACCTCAGCAAAGTCTCAGGATACAAAATCAATGTGCAAAAATCACAAGCATTTCTATACACCAATAACAGACAGAGAGCAAAATCATGAGTGAACTCCCATTCACAGTTGCTACTAAGAGAATAAAATACCTAGGAATCCAACTTACAAGGGATGTGAAGGACCTCTTCGAGGAGAACTACAAACTACTGCTCAACGAAATAAAAGAGGACACAAACAAATGGAAGAACACTCCATGCTCATGGATAGGAAGAATCAATAGCATGAAAATGGCCATACTTCCCAAAGTAATTTATAGATTCAATGTTATCCCTATCAAGCTACCATTGACTTTCTTCACAGAAATGGAAAAAACTACTTTAAACATCATATGGACCCAAAAATGAGCCCACATAGCCAAGACAATCCTAAGCAAAAAGAACAAAGCTGGAGCAATCATGCTTCCTGACTTTGAACTATACTACAAGGCTACAGTAACCAAAACAACTATACTACAAGGCTACAGTAACCAAAACAGTATGGTACTGGTACCAAAACAGATACATAGACCAATGGAACAGAAGAGAGTCCTCAGAAATAACACCAGACATCTACAACCATCTGATCTTTGACATACATGAGTATATTTTACATTGTTTTCAACCATTGTTTTCTAGACTGGTTGTAAGTCAAAAATGGCAACTGTGTAAATTGCTTTAAATAGCTATATTGTGCTGATATAAAATTCTAGTACTTACCTCTTCAAGAAATGGACAATCATCAAAGCTGCCCCCAAAGAAATGCTCTGTCAATTTCATGGGTTTTAGGATCTGATGGAAATCTAGACTTTTAGAATGAAAACCCATTACTTTAATCAAACTTACGTCTTTGTATAATTAATTACAGTTTTACTCAACCAACTTTTGTTCATAGTGATCAATACCAAAATGACCAAAACAGTAAAAACAGGGAAAGTTCTGGGGTACAAGCAGTGTTTTAGAAATAAAAATCTAGTCATCAAGTGAAGTAACTGGCATCAATTGTCTTCCCTCACCCAAAGATAATTAGGTATTAAAGCTAAGGTCAAAATAGTGTCAAGTAATTAAATTGTCTATGTTTTTGTTGTTGTTGCACCTTTTTGCACCCTGAACATCCTTCAAGTATTCAGCATCAATCCCCCCTTCTACACAGAGCTATTCCTATTTTCATGTTAACCTTACCTTTCTTTGAAATTTTACCGCATTCTATAGCTTGTGCCACACACTCAGGATATAAATATATAATGTTCTACATTGTAATCATTTTTTTCCCAAATTTGTTATAATCCTCCCAGTTCTCTGTGGAAAAGAATCATTTCATCTTTTTATATATTACACACACTATTTAGACAACAAGATACAGCCTTCCCTTTTTGATAATTGGTTGTTTTCTTAACTAAATTCTCCAAATTTGTAAATCATTTGTAATCATAGTCAGAAGAGAAAAACTGATTTTCTCATTTTTAACCTCCAAAACAATTGCCTTAGTAGAAAAACTCAGACTTACAGGATCTAAATGGTAGAAAATCTAAGACCTGAGTAACTATTAAATATTACTTACTCATGCATCAATCCTCTGACCACTGTATGTCCCCTGACATGAGAATGGTAGAAAAGGGTGTATTAGTAAGGCAGCAATAGGCCGGGCTCAGTGGCTCATGCCTGTGATCCTAGCACTTTAGGAGGCTAAGGCAGGCGGATCACAAGGTCATGAGTTTGAGATCAGCCTGATCAACGTGGTGAAACCCTGTCTCTACTAAAAATACAAAAATTAACCGGGCATGGTGGTGCGCACCTGTTATCTCAGCTACTCAGGAGGCTGAGGCAGGACAATGGCTTGAACCCAAGAGGTGGAGGTTGCAGTGAGCCGAGATGGCACCACTGCAACCACTGCACTCCAGCCTGGGCGACAGAGTGAGACTTCATCTCAAAAAAAAAAAAAAAAAAGTACGGCAGAAATAAGTATCTAATCCTTAATGGAGAATGAGAAATTGCAACAAACTCTTCTCCAAACACTCCAGGATCTTGTTCCTATTAAAAAGCAACATTTTAACACACTTATTAACTAAAGTGTTAATTTGTAAAGCTTTTTTTTTTCTTTTTGGGGGTGTTAAGGAGAAGCAGACAATTTTTGAATATTATTTCAATATTATTGAATATTATTTCTCTCTACTTGAAAGCCTTTCACCAAGGTAGATTATTACAGAGTTGTTTCTCAATTAAATGTACTCTACAAAGTTCATATATTGTAATGTGTACTATATAGTCTCTATGCCCAGCTCCCAGCAAAGCCTCAAATAATTTCTCAATAGAATTACTGTAACTTCTCTTTAAGGGAGTGGGGGACTTCACAGTCATTTGACTGAGAAATAATTCTGCCTTCAGACTGAAGAGAGAATCTTGCACAAGATCACACTATAATCTGCCTGCCATCAAAACAAAGTCTTGTAATTTGGTCAATTACTGGGCTGCTGAGGATAATTTCAAATATCATACATTTGTATGTTGCTACCTGTGTCATAAAGTGAAAGATTTTTCACAGCTTATTTTAAATGATGTAATATGCTCCCTCTTGTAGAAATTATAAACAATGCATTTTCAAAAACAATTTTAGAAAAGCTATTTCTCCAAAATATATTTCTTGGCATTCTCTCTCACAGTTCTTGATAAAATGAATGACATGCAAAATATTTTTTCAAAAAAAATCACATATTTTTGAAAGCTGTCAAAGAACAGTTCGATTTTTATTCATATGTTAATGATTGTATACATTTTTTTCTAACCCAAGTTTCTAATTACAGATTAATACTGAGCATGGCAGTTATTTTAAATTGACTGTCACTTGCCTTATTTCCAATGGCCTTATTGTTTCTGGAAAAGGGATAGAAGGCCCCAAATTGCATCCAATGCAGGCAAAGTTCATAAGTTGTCTCTTCATTAAACCCACATATATCAGCTCCTACCTGGGGAAAAATTTATCGACTTCAAAATATATCAGTCATTAATTTTGTCAAGAAAACCACTCTGAAATTTTTCAGGTTACACTATTTTGAATTGACAAATATGTTTAAGACCACAAGGATATCATATTCACATATAATCTGACAGTGTAAATGTCTTCTTTGAGAAGAGTGTATGGAATAAAATAGTGACAAGTCCTGCTTATGCAGCCTTGATTGAAAGAAAACTGTGGGCTACATCGTGGTACAAGCAGGGAGTCTTTTGGGTAATCCAATTTACATTAAAATGCTTATTTTCAAGTGCAGTGCTGTAAATTTCCTGTCTCAATATAAACTAAAAGACAGAATTTTCACAATGTGTTTAGCTAACACAAGAGCCTTAGTAGTTGACTACTCAAGCTGGGACAAAAGGGCACAGGATTATTGCACCTGACTATACTCTCTTTGTAAATCACAGATTACAGATACTTTGCTTCCTGACATCTAATGATGGCCTCTCACGGTGCTCAAATTGTTTTATTTCAGAGCTCTTCTTGTTCTCTCAGAAATACAACCTTTAACCCCAAAGCTGTGGTTAATGTCAAGGCTTATAGGTTAAAAAGTCATGAAGAAGTACAGCATGGAGTCATAAAATGTGTTGATTACGATAAAAATGTTCTTCAAACGACAGAGGTTGTACTGTGTGCTCCACTAAATTATAAGGCCTTCTCTGGAGAAAAAAACAGTTCATGTTACCTTTCTCTCTGAAGCTGCTTATTAAAAGTTTGGCTTCTGTCGTTTTCTGATCCATACACAACTTAAAGCTATATTTCTTTGTCAATATTTAGCAATTCTTCTTTGAATGTAGCTAATGCATCACTTGAACAACAAATGCAATTCTTGCTAAATTTCAGAGTAGATCATTATATTTGTAGCTTTCCAAAATAAGGCAAATAATGCTCTATACTTTTATTTTAAAATGTCATTGAGATATGGAAAAACTGTTATGATAAAATGTTCTGATTTAGTAACATAGCAGCAAATTATTTAATAGTTCAATTGTTTATTTATCACTAGAGCTCAGATAAGGGAGTATTTTACTGTGTATTTAAAGCATTTTGTTAGCTTCTTTGCACTTCCTCCTTTCATAGGAGATGGAGACACCCCTGGCATGAATTTTCTATCCAAATTATCTGTCCTTCTTTTTTCCCCATTATCTATGTGTTTTAAAATAATAGGTTGTAGAAGAATCATGGATATGGTAGGGGGAGAAATGAGTGGCAGAGGAGATAAACTTTACCAGTTTTACCATGACCAAGTACTTTAGTGACTTAAGACAAAAAGAACAAAAAATAATTTAGAAAGATGCGGTACTCCTGAGATCTACACAGGTTAAAAGAATTTCTACAGTGACAAAATGAAGTGTATTATTTGTAATGTCCTGAAAATATGTAATCTACTCATTTAATTTTAAAACTTACATATGGGCCGGGTGCGGTGGCTCACGCCTGTAATCCCAGCACTTTGGGAGACCGAGGTGGGCAGATCATGAGGTCAGGAGATTGAGGCCATCCTGGCTAACACGGTGAAACCCCATCTCTACTAAAAATACAAAAAAATTAGCCAGGCGTGGCAGTATGTGCCTGTAATCACAGCTACTCGGGAGGCTGAGGCAGGAGAATCACTTGAACCCATGAGGCAGAGGTTGCAGTGAGCTGAGATCACGCCACTGCACTCTAGCCTGAGCGACAGAGAGAGACTCCATCTAAAAAAACAAACAAACAAACAAACAGACTTACATATGGAATTCCAAAGAGATTACATTCTAGCATTCCAATGATTGACAAATGCATGTCTCTCCAACATGAGAAGTCATCACCCAGCCAATGGCCAGGGTACTTCCCACTCCCAATAAATGTTGAATGACTCAAAAAAATGCTTGCTTTTTTGTAGCATTCTGAGAAGCCCTGGAGGAAACATCAGAAAAGTTGTCTTTAATATTATTCTAAAATGATCCTTTTTTTTTCACTAACGAAACACATGGTTTTAAAATATATTAATGATTCCCTAATATTCATGTAATTCAAACATTTTATCAAAAGTATAAATCTGTGTGAACATGAAATGGAAGAAATAAATAAAAAGGAAGTTATATTTAAGCTATTATACACATTTTATGGAGAAAAAAAGCTGTTAAAAGCCAATGCTAAGTATCCAAACCAAATTTTCTTGCACTAAACTCTTCTTGTAAGTTATGCTATAGTTCAGGGGTTTTCAACCATGGTTTTATGTTAGAAATTTCTAGAAGCTTAAAAAAAAATGCCAAGGCTCCATTCCTAATCAATTAAATCAAAATATCTAGGGCTGGGACTTGGAAATCAGCATTTTTAAAAATTCTGTGTGATTCTAATATGGCAGCCATGGTGCCTGTTATACTAATGTTGGAAATGCTAGTAATTTTCTTTTGATAATTGATTATATTTACCTAGTGAATCTTTACATGTTTACCTATTTTAGCAGCATTATTTTAAGTTTTACTTTGGTTATTTTTTGTTTGAATTTAACTTGTATATTTGGCCTTTTTTTTTTTTTTTTTTTTTTTTTTGAGATAGTCTCGCTCTGTTGCCCAGGCTGGAGTGCAGTGGCGCAATCTCGGCTCACTGCAACCTCCACCTCCCGGGTTCATGCCATTCTCCTGCCTCAGCCTCCCGAGTACCTGGGACTACAGGCGCCCGCCACCACGCCCAGCTAAGTTTTTGTGTTTTTAGTAGAGATGGGGTTTCACTGTGTTAGCCAGGATGGTCTCGATCTCCTGACCTCGTGATCCGCCTGCCTCGGCCTCGCAAAGTGCTGGGATTACAAACCAATAAATCAAGAAAAAATTGAAATGGGCATTGCAATCTACAGATCAAGTTTAAACTCCATTATCTCTTCCATGAAAAATATTTGTAACTTTGAGCAACTTACTTAACAACTATAAAATGAAGCTAATAATACTTAACTTCACAGGACTGCTGTAATGTTTAAAAGAATATATATATATCACAACAGCACTTAACAAGTAAATTGTGCTGAGCAGTTACAGCTGCAAATCTACTTCATCCTAGCTAAACAACTTGAATCTCATTTTTAGCCATTATTTACCCAGAACTTCAGGACCAATTATTCTGTCTCTCAAGGATAAAATAATGAGAAAAAAAAGAAAAGTTGCATTGATTGATGACATTGAATGATAGAAGCTCTACTAATAAATTCAGTAGACACTCCTATTGCCTTATCAAGGTGAATCTTGCTAGTGCTTCCATTTAAAATGGTTACGTCCTTCAGGAAAAATGTTCATTGTTTGATTTTAGTGAAGTTCAGAATTTGGAAGTCATGTTCACTTTATCTCAGAGAATGAAAAGTGTTCAGATATGTATCTCTCAACACGGAAAAGAAATACATGTCTAAACTTTTTCCTCTTCTATCCCTCCCCCTTCCCTTTCTCCCCCTTGCTTAAACTTCTTTATGAGTTAGATACAAGTAGCAGTTTCATGGACCTAGGACCTAGGTGTGTGTGGTACATTCTAAAGTCTGAAGAACTGACTAGACATCTAGAATCCTTATTAAAATAGGATAAATGAACCTAAAGTAGCTATAAACCACTCTCTGTTTTATAGCCTTGACATATGATTCTATTTTTCTAATGTATTATTACTTTTATATTAAAGGTAACTTCTTTTTTACCAGTCCATGAGTAATATTTTGGCAGATATATTTAATTGCCATATTTTAAAAATATATGTTCAGAACTTTGTCCATCAAGTTTACTAGATAGTTTGTATATTTTGTTTTCGGTCAAATCAAAACCTATGAATTTTTCAGTAGTAGTTAAGAGAGCCCGGTTAAATGTCTCATGTTCATCTTTAGCTCTGTAATTATCTATTATTTTCACCAAACAAATTTCACGACATTTCCTGAATGTAATGGTCTAGAAAAATGGCTCTATTCCAAAACATGAAAATGGCATATACTTGGATATGACCTAAATAAGCAGTTCTATCTTGATTCTCATACCTTAAAACTAGTATTTCTGAGAACTCACTCTGTAAATCAGACAGGCTGATTCTATCAATCATATATATTTTACCCATGTTTATGACATCTTGTCAAAGTACTGTAATAAACCTGAATTGAAATGAAAACCTGTTTTAAACAGACAAGGATGCAGTAAATGGAAACACAGTGTTCTATCCCTGAGCCCATAAACCCATTTTTACTAATGCAGGCTAGGAGAGTCTCCTAGTAGACACACACAGGAAAAGACAGAAATAATGCAACACAGTAAACCCTCATTAGAGGAACAGCATGAATCAGGTGGTCACGGATAAGTTGCTTCAAGATCTGGGATTGTTAACTCCAGGAGGGAAAAGGTTTTGTCTGCCAAGCTTGGAGTGTACTGCACTCAGTGTAACAACATGCATAAATCCTGACTTATGACTCTAATGGTAGGGACTTTACACATCAATATTTAATCAGGTTTAAAAATGGCTCTATTCAGAGCTAATAGTATAAGTGATAATTTAGTCGAAGCAAGATAAAGGCAACATTAGTGCACATAACCTTTAAAACTGTAGCATTTGTTAACAATTACATCCTACATTATAAAATTGTTCCAAAATTCTGTTTCCTCCACCACTTATCTGAAATTTAGATTCGATTTTTGCCTGTCTTAGACAAGTTTTTGTGCTTCTATTAAGGCCATTTTACTCTGCTTCTGTGCTGTTTAAATAGGTTGTTAGAAATACTTGTAAAATCAGCAAGATAAAACCTTAGAAAAGGAAGATTGTTTACTAGTCCTTAACAAATTAAGAAATGATATAACAAAATGTAACATCTACTGTAAACAATTTTTTCCCTATTTCTTAAATGGTATTTTAATAATAATTTTTGGGTATTAAAACATCAAGAACATTTCAAGAAGATTTACAAGCTACGCAGTAGAAAGTAAGTGCTGCTTGTGACCAGCCAGAAAATGTGTGTCATAATGATATCCCAGAAAAGTCTTGGAATCAGGGCATGATGTTTCTGAGCCAAAAGTCTACCTGTGATATCTAAGGATGAAACAAAATAAATATGCATACTTAACATAATCTAAATATCATTGTATTTTATTCATCTATTTGCATGTTGGTTACCTTCACTAGTCTATGAGCTCTTTGGGAACAATAAATGTCTTTTTAATTAATGAAAACAGTGTTACCCTGACATGACAAAAATTTTAAATTGTATCCTGAATTTGAGACGTAGTTGAATATTAGTATCAAGACAAAGGTGCATTTATCTCAGAAATATAAAACTAATTTATCATTAAAAAAATCAAGCAACATGATTCATATATTAATATATTTTAAAAGAAGAATATAACTATCTCAAGAGATATAAAAAAGTGATAAATTCAACTTGATTATTGATAAAAAATTTCTTAAATAGTAATAAAATAAAATAAAATTTTCTTAACCTTATTAAGATTAGCTACAAAAATATCTATAGTACATTTCATACATTACTGTGAAATATTAAAAACACTTCAGCCAGGTGCAGTGGCTCACGCCTGTAATCCTAACCCTGGGATGCCAAGATGAGAGAATTTCTTGAGCCCAGGAATTCAAGGCTGCAGTTAGCTATGATCGCTCCACTGCACTCCAGCCTAGGCAGTAGAGTGACACTCTGCCTCTAAAATTTAAACAAAACAAAACAAAAAACAGTTAATTGAGATTGGGAACAAGAGAGTGCCTGCTGTCACCACTTTTATTCAATCCTGAACTCGAGTTCTCACCTAGGAATAAGTCAAGCAAAAAAACAAAAAAAAAGTGAAAAAGTTAGAATGGGAACCAATTCTATGGATCATTCACAGATAAGACTCTACCCAAAAATATCTTAAAATGTCATCAGATAAATTATGATAATTAATATGACAGTATAGCAAGTTTTCCTGGTAAAAAATCAATATAAAAACACAATTACATTCCATAAATCAGCAACAAATAGTAAGTGAAAGCCTTAAAAGAGGGCCTTTAAAATAGCATCCAAATATAGAGAATCTAGAAATATGATTAACCAAATGAGTCAAAAACTTCATAAAGAAATTATAAACTTTTATGAAAAGTAATTTTAAAGACAAATACAGGATGAACAATACCATATCTTTGGAAACTGTATGAAGAAGATATTGATTCTTTCCAAATTGTTATATGGATTTAATGGCAACAACAGCCAAAATACTCTTAAAGAAGGCCAAGGTGGGAAGACCTATTTTCTACCCTTTTTGATGACTTATTATAAATCATTAGAAATTAAAGCAGTATCAAATTGGTTAAGGGAAAGAAAAATGAACCAATGAACAGAAAAAGTAGTGTAGAAGCAACACATAGCACACATGGATACCTATCACGAGAAAAAATAAGTAGTGCAGATCACTGGGGGAAAAGGATAGACTTTTCATTGGTTCTGGGACAATTCTTTCTCCACATAGAAAAAAATGAATTTATATTGTTATCACATACTTCTCAAAATCAACTCGAACTAGATTAAAGGCCCAAATGTGAAAGGGCAAAATTATAAAATACTTTTAAAATAATATATCTTTATGACCACAGCTTCAAAAATATTGTTACAAATTGTTAAAGAAAAGGATTGGTAAATTTGACAATATTTTAGTTAAGAACCTGTGTTCAACAAGAGATACTAAAAAGAGCATGAAAATATAAGCCAGAAATTATCGGAGATATTTTAATACATATAACCAAAAAATCAGTATAAGAAAGCTCACGTCCCAACAGAAAAATGGGGAAAACACTTGAACCAGTCGATAAAACCTAAAAAGCTAACAAAGAGGAAACATGCTTAGTCTCATTTATAATCAGAAATATGCAAATTAAATACATACAGAGTTGACATTTCACACTCACCACTTTGATAAAAATTGAGATGACTGAGCAACAGGTTAACATGCCACCTTGCATTTGGTTCCTTTTCTTTTTTTTTTTAGTGGTTCAAATAATGTTTTTTTTATTTTTATTATTATTATACTTTAAGTTTTAGGGTACGTGTGCACAACGTGCAGGTTTGTTACATATGTATACATGTGCCATGTTGGTGTGCTGCACCCATTAACTTGTCATTTAGCATTAGGTATATCTCCTAATGCTATCCCTCCCCCCTCCCCCCACCCCACAACAGTCCCCGGTGTGTGATGTTCCCCTTCCTGTGCCCATATGTTCTCATTGTTCAATTCCCACCTATGAGTGAGAACATGCGGTGTTTGGTTTTTTGTCCTTGCGTTAGTTTGCTGAGAATGATGGTTCCTTTTCTTCCCAGCCTCATTTCCCTCTCTTCCTTACCCTTCTGCTTAGCATTGATTCCTTCCCCATCAAAACAGCATTTACCAGATAAACTTTGCCTCAGTCTCTATTTTCTAAAGAATCCACGCTGTGATATCCTCTGCCACTTTTGAAGGTAAAGGCTTAAGAAGGAATTCCCTTTCCTTTTTTGGTTGCTACTGATAAATTTTGCTTTTTCCCATTTTCAAAAATTTCATTAATTACTGAATGAAATGGGATGCAGTAAATGGAAGATTCTGAGTGTAGTTTTATTTTGCCATTATCACCTGGAAATCTCTGATTATATTTGACTGTATGTTTACATGTTGGTCACCTTCACTAGACTGTCAGCTTTCTAGAGACAGCTGTCTTTTAGGTATGTTTGTCCTGCCCCATTGATAGTGAGGGTAGATGGTAGGTGTCTAGCATCTTGTACTGTGCGTAACAGATAGGAAGCGATCAAGAAATATTTTCCAAATGAATGATTCTTTAGCAAGCATATAAAGGATTCCTACAGAGAGCACAATAACTAGGAAATTATCTCCCATTCCTACAAATAACTGAATGAGAGGAAATAGGTGTATAGTACACAAAGATTATGTTAAGTATAAGAAAAATATTACCAGACCAAATAATGATTTTCTTCCTGAAAATTTTTAAGAATAGAAGACTTTGCAACTGTAGAAAAAATTACAGCAGTGTTATTGCAATGTAGGAAAAATGCTAGGTACCACTAATGTTTCCTTCCTGCTGTAAGAATCGTTGCTTCTGCATACACACAGAAAGGAATAAAGGTTTTATCTACTGTTGGCAGAACCTGGAACTTTCTGGAAAGGAGAGATTAGGACAAGAAGGGACTTCTCCTTCTAAATTAACTGAGTGTTGAAACAAATAAGATAAAGGGCTGGAGATTAATCCTTGCTTCCTAAAAACTATTCACAGTAGGGATTAGCCCATCCCCTTCTGCTTTTCCATTTCTTTCAAAAGTGAAAGAGATGTAAATAATCAAGAATAGTGTCTTGTACCCTGTGGGCACAGCACCTTCCAAAATATATATAGATTTATAATATCATAACAAATCGCACACATAAAAATACAATACCTATCTCTGAAATATATTTGCATTACGTAGCTGAAGCAAGATGAGTAAGAAAAAAATTGCTGCATAAAAGTCTAAAACGTGAAAACTAGGGGAATAATTCAGAAAAACTATTAAAAGATATACTCTGTAAGAATATATTCTTCAAGGTCCTTGTAAAAAGAAAGTTATTTTTAAATGTAGCAACTTTTATCATTTTATTTAAGTTTAGAGAAAACTTTGCCTTTGATTGGAAAATTATTTTTCCCCATGCCTTAGGCTGTATAGAATATTAACAATAGTCACTGTAATGCAAAGGGAAGCATGAAAAGGATTTGCCTTTTTGTCCTGCTTTATAATCTTCCACATTATTTGAATAAAATAAAATGACAATGAGTTTGAGAGGTTTTCAAACTGACTACAGATTACAGACAAACACAAGACTGGCGTGTGTGTACCTCTCTGCCTGCTGGTGTTGAATTCTGTCAAACAAACTCCAAAGATGAAAGTTCAATTTTGAGTGTCAGCTTTAAATCTAAACTCCTACTTATGTGACAGTTCTACTCAGCTTGGACCTCCAGATTGAAGTCCACTGGTTAGTACACTGCGCTATGAGCAGCACAGCCTGGTGGTAAAAGCCCAGATCTTCATAGAGCTTAAGTCCTGGCACAGTCATTTACTAACACTGTGACCTTGAGTAAGGTACTTCACGAGCCTCAGTTTCTTCATCTGGAAAATGGTTCTAGCAATTCTTACTTCAGTGGTATGTTGTGAGAATTAAATGAAATAATTAGTATAAATAATATATATTTTCATATTACTACTTTATAGTTTATTATATTATTAATAAACATTACTTATATTTATATTAAATATAAATATGAATATGAATTATATGAAATACAAATATTTCCTAATTTACACAGTCTGTACAATGTAGACCTTTTAAGTATAGTCTCAACCTGCCTACTAGGATTCTATTTATTTGTTTATCCTAAAATTATGAAGTCTAACCTCGAGGCACTTATTGCAACTTGGAGGGAAGCTGCTGTGCACATCTAGCTAGAGAACTAATAAGATCAGTCCTGGAGTGACATAAATCTGTACTAGCAAGTAAACTGTAGCATGAAGAAATGGTTTATGAAATTATTAACTTGTGTTTCATTTTAGCAGTACTTTTTCTCCCCATTGTTTCAAGATGTTTCAGGATGTCCCCTTTATTTCAACAGATGTTTGTGAAGGCTCTCTGAAAAGCAGTAGGTCTCAGCAGACTAATTTATCTCCAGGTTTTACCTCCAGAAATCTAATCTTTTTAAGGAAATTATGTGAGGGGGTACAAGACAAAGGGGCTTGCATATGAAGGCCACGAGGGAAAAGAGGCAAATTCACCAAGGCTAGAGTAGGGGGTATTAGCTTTAAGGCATTAGGAGGAGATAGAGATTTGGTGCTCAGCCTTGAGTCTACACTCCCAATACCCTAGAGAAAAGAAAGGACATTTAAAGGAAAATGAATATGTAGAGCACCTCAGGAGACTATCTGTATCTGTAGACTACAAGGTTCCTGAGCCCTACAAAGATGTCCCACATGCACTAAAAGAAATAATAGAAGGACAAGAATTTTGGCAGACTTTGGGTTTGAACAATTGGGCTTCCATCTCCACAGAAACAAAGACTCAAACACCTTTCTCAAATAGCTTTTCTCTGCCTGAAACAATCTTGGCATGACACTGAGAGTAGAAAGAGGAGTACTGCAGTAGCAACTGAGAAAGGTTTTTACACCTGAGATAGGGGCTAACAGATTTGATTTGTTTTAAAGGAAATAAAGTAATGCAATACTTCCCATATAGCCATGATTTAGATTAGAATGGAGTCTTATGAAATCCACAGAGTTTAACGAGTGATGAAGTGATCAGACTTAGTAGGAAAAGATTGAGGAGAAATTTGGTAAACATTATCGAATCCAAAAAATGTGGTAAACTGGTTGAGAAAAGGTTTGTGCACAATTTGGAACCAAAGTAAGAATAAAGTCTACTGAGTCAAAATTAAGCAAAAGAAGACTAGATAGTAATAAAGCTTTGTGGTCATGGTGTGGTATGCAGAACAATAGTTCTCAAAATTGTTCATGTCCAATCCTTGGAACCTGTGAATGTTACTTTCTATGGCAAAAGGAATTTTGCTGATGAGATAAAGATTAAGAACTTTGATAAACACTACATGCTCTCACTCACATGCTAAAGCTAAGAGAAGGTTGATCTCACAGAAGTAAAAAGTAAAACAGAGGTTACTAGAGGCTGAGAAGAGTAGGAGGAGATAGGGGATAGGGAGAGATTTGTTAAAGGACACAAAATTACAGCTAGATAGGATGAATGGATTCTAGCATTTCATAGCACTGTAGGATGACTAGAGTTAACAATAATATATTATACATTTTCAAACACCTGGAAGAGCATATTGAATGTTTCCAACACAAAGAAATGATACATGTTTGAGATGATGGATATGCTAATTATGCTGATCTAATCATTATGCATTGTAGGTACTGAAACATCACTTTATACCCTATAAATATGTACAATTATTATGTGTCAATTTTTTTTAAAAAAAAATTAAGACCTCTGAGATAGGAAGAATATCCTGGATTATCCAGGTGGGTGCAATCCAAAAACATGAATCCTTAAAAGAATGAAACCTTTCCCAGTTATGTTCAGAAAGATGTGAAGCTGAAAGAAGGTCAGAGAGAGATACAAAAAACATTGCTGACTTTGAAGTCAAGGAAAGGGGCCATGAGCCAAGGAGTGTGGGAGCTGGAAAGGAGAGTAAAGGGTTTCTCCCCCAGAGCTTCCAGAAAGAAAGGCAGTTCTGCCAGTACCTTGATTTTCATCCAGTGAGCCTCATGTCAGATTCCTAACTTACACAACTGTATGATAATAATAAATTCATGCTGTTTTTCAGCGACTACATTTGTGGTAAATTTGTTATGGCAGAAACAGAAAACTAACCTGCATGATTAACCTGCAAGAGTTCTAAGTATTCCTACTGATGTAATTCCTACTTATTCCTATTAATGACTTCTAAGTATTCCTACTGAGTAATCTGCAAGAATTCTAAGTATTCTTACTGATGGCATGGTACCAATTACAGGGCAAGTGAGAAGTAGTTTGTGGTTGCCCCTCTCAGAGTTGGGAAGCACCCTTCTCAAGTGAACAGAATCTGGATGACATTGTGCTAACTGAAATAAGACAGACACAGGAAAATAAATACCACATGATTTCACTTTAAAGCAGAATCTTAAAAGGTCAAACTCATAGAAGCGGAGAGTAGAATGGTGATTCCCAGGGGCTGGTGGGGAATTGAGGAGATGTTTTTCAAATGGTACAAAATTTTAGTTAGACAAGAAGAATAAATTCAGATCTATTGTAAAACATGCCAAATATAGTTAATAACAATGTATTATCTACTTGAAATTACTAGGAGATTTTAAATGTTTTCACTACAAAAAATAAATATGTAGGGTAATGGATATATTAATTATTGTGACTTAGTTATTCCACATTGTGTAGATATAACAAAACATCATGTTCTGTACCATAAATATATACAATTTTAAGTTGAACATAAAAAATTTGAAAAAAGTCTTTGCATTCAGTATAACTTTTTTTTTTTTTTTTTTTTGAGATGGAGTCTCGCTCTATCACCAGGCTGGAGTGCAGTGGCATGATCTCGGCTCACTGCAACCTCTGCCTCCCGGGTTCAAGTGATACTCCTGCCTCAGCCTCCCAAGTAGCTGGAAGTGCACCACCACACTGAGCTAATTTTTGTATTTTTAGTAGAGATGGGGTTTCACCATGTTGGCCAGGATGGTCTCGAACTCTTGACCTCGTGATTTGCCCGCCTCAGCTTCTCAAAGTACTGGGATTACAGGCATGAGCCACCACGCCCAGCCTAACTTCTTTTAAAATAGTTTGCTAAACGTACACAGATGTACTGTTTTCTCTGGAATTTAATACTATTACCTTATACAGGTATACCTTATTTTATTGCACCTTGCTTTGTAGATACTGCATTTTTTACAAATTGAAGGTTTATGGCAACCCTGCATGGAGCAAGTCTACTGGTGCCATTTTTCCAACAGCATGTGCTCATGTCATGTCTCAGTCACATTTTGGTAATTCTCATAATATTTCAAACATTTTCATTATTATTACATCTGTTATGGTGATTTGTGATCAGGGGTCTTTGATGTTAGTATTGTAATTATTTGGGGGTACCACAAGCCGTGCCTATATAAGAGAGCAAACTTAATCGATAAATGTTGTGGGTGTTCTGACCCACTGACCAGCTATTCCCCCTTTTCTCTCCCTCTCCTTAGGTCTCCCTATTCCTTGAGACATGGTAATATTGAAATTTGGCCAATTAATGGCCCTACAATGTCCTCTAAATATTCAAGTGAAAGGATGAGTCACACATCTCTCACTTTAAATCAAAAGCTTGAAATGATTTAGCTTAGTGAGAAAGGCAAGTCAAATGCTGATACAGGCCAAATGCTAGGCCTCTTGTGCCAAACAGTTAGCCAATGTGTAAACGCAAAGGAAAAGTTTATGAAGGATATTAGAATTGTTACTCCAGTGAACACATGAATGATAAGAAAGCTAAACAGCTTTATTGTTGATATTTGAGAAATGTGAGAAATCTGGATACAAGATCAAACCAGCCACAACATTCCCTTAAGTCAAACCCTATTCCAGAGCAAGGCCCTAACTCTCTTCAATTCTCTGAAGGCTGAGCGAGGTGAAGAAGCTGCAGAAGAAAAGTTTGAAGCCAGCAGAGAAGATTTAAGGAAATAAGTCATCTTCATAACATAAAAGTGTAAGGTGAAGCATCAAGTGCTGATGGAGAAGCTGCAGCAAGTTATACAGAAGATATACCTAAGGTAATTGATAAAGGTAGATTCATCAAACAATAGATTTTCAGTCTTCTATTTTCCAATTTTCTGTTGGAAGAAGATGTCATCTAGGACTTTCACAGCTAAAGAGGAGAAATCAATGCTTGGCTTCAAAGCTTCAAAGCACAGGCTGACTCTTGTTAGGACTTAATGAGCTGGTGACTTTAAGTTGAAGCTAATTCTCATTTCCCATTTCAAAAACCCTAGAGCCCTTAAGAATTTTGCAAAATCTACTCTAAATCTACTCTATGCTAAATCTGCTCTGTAAATGGAACAACAAAGCCTGGATGAGAGCACATCTGTTTACAGCATGACTTACTATTTCAAGCTGCTGAGACCAACTTCTCAGAAAAAAAGATTTCTTTCAAAATATTACTGCTCATTGATAATGCACCTGGTCACCCAAGACCTCCGATGAAGATATACAAGAAGATTAATGTTGTTTTTCATGCCTGCTAACACAACATCTATTCTTGAGCCCATGGATCAAGGAGTGATTTCAACTTTCAAATCTTCTTATTGAAAGAGTACATTTCATAGTTATAGCTTCTATAGATTGTGATTCCTCTGCTGGATCTGGGCAAAGTAAATTGAAAGACTTCTGGACCCCCCATTCTAGACTCTAGTAAGAATATTTGTGATTCATGGGAGAAGGTCAAGATATCAACATTAATAGGAGTTTGGAATAAGTTAATTCCAATCCTCATGGATGACATTGAGGGGTTCAAGACATCAGTGGCAGAAATAACCACAGATATGGTGCTAAAAACAAAAACTAGAATTAGAAGTGGAGCCTGAAGGTGTGACTAAATTGATGCAATCTCATGATCAAACTTGAATGGATGAGATGTTGCTTCTTATGGATGAGCAAAGAAAGTAGTTTCTTGAGATATAATCTACTCTTGGTGAACATGCTGGAAACATTGTTGACATGATAAGAAAGGATTTAGAATATTACACAAACCTAGTTGATAAAGCAGTAGCAGGGTTTGAGAGGGTTGACTACTCCAATTTTGAAAGAAGTTCTCGTATGGGTAAAATGCTATCAAACAGTATCACAGGTTACAGAGAAATCTTTTGTGAAAGGAAGAATAAATTAATATGGAAAACTTCATTGTTGTCTTATTTAAGAAATTGCCACAGCCACCCCAACCTTCAGCAACCACCACCTTGATCAGTCAGCAGCCATCAACCTTGAAGCAAGACCAGCAAAAAGATTACAACTTTATGAAGGTTCAGATGATAGCATTTTTTTAGCAATAAAGTGTTGTTAATTAATAACTTATTTTTTTAGACATAACACTATTGCATACTTCATAACCTATAGTATAGTGTAAACATAACTTTTGTATGCTCTGGAAAACAAAAAAATTCATGTGGCTCTCTTTATTGTGATATTTGCTTTATTGCAGTGGTTTGGAACCTAACCCACAATATCTCCAAGGCCTACCTATATTTCATGAACTGTTTCTTAGTATATGCCTAGCGTCCCTAACTGCTGTACTTTTTTGAAATTGAAATTCAACTCCTCTTCGTAATAACTCCCCATTCTTCATCTCTGTGCTAAACACTTGAAATGAGTTGGATGTCGATTAGATTACAGATAGGACTAAATCATATTCTGTAGGATCTTAATCACACTAATAGCATCCTACTATACACAAGGTCCTAAAATATGAAGACATTTCTTATATATTTTCAACAGTCCTCAAGATTACTATGAGTATAAAAACTGCAATGTGGGAAAGGAGAGGTTGCAGAAAGACCAAGATGAAAAGGGTACGTTGGGCTGGATGCAGTGGCTCACGCCTGTAATCCCAGCAGTTAGGGAGGCTGAGTCCTAGTTGGGTGGATCTCTTGAGCCTAGGAGTTCTAGACTAGACTGGGCAGTCTAGTAAAACCCTGTCTCTACAAAAAATAAATAAATAAATAAATAAATACAAAAGTTATCCAGGTATGGTGGTGAGTGGACCTGTGGGCCTGTGGTTCCAGCTACTCAGAAGGCTAAGGTGGGAGGATTATTTGAGCCCAGGAGATCGAGGCTGCAGTGAGCTATGATTATGCTATTGCACTCTAGCCTGTGTGACAGAGTGAAACCCTGCCTCAAAAATAGAAAAAAAAAAAGATATGTTCTGTGCTAAAATCTATAAAACATGCAGCACTGAAGCAGAACTTGCAACCTCTGGTCAAACACTTGTCTTTCAATAGACCCACTCTTACCTTGCAGTGGAAGAGGTCAAGTACTGTATGTGGCTAGAGATGATATGCCTCCAGCAGCTGTGCTGCTAGGAAAGCATGAGCCTTGGACATGTGCCTAATATTCAAACAAGAGTGGCAGAATTCCAAAAGCCTCTCATCCATGTATCTCCTTTGTACCTAGATCCAAAGATTCCCAGTGTTAAATCATATCTCTCAAAACATAACCAGTACATATCACAAAAGCTTGACCTAAACAAGTCTACTCAAAGACATCTCTTCATATACCACTTTTAACGTGTTCCATTGTAGGGATTCACACTGGAAGCTGTCCTCCCCTTATTTTTCTATTTCTTGGCTTTTTCCTTTGGAATCATGAATTTCAGCTTTTATGACTTTTTAAACTGCATTTTGTTCAACACGGTAGCAAGGATTAGAGTCTAATAGACAAGAAAATCTAATTCTAGTACTGGTTTTGCTGCCTTGAAATGTTTGCCTCTCTTTTGGATATGTATCAATAAAATTGAGACATTAGTATCACTTTAAGCTGAATTTATGATACATTTTGAAGACACATAAGATGCCAAAGGGCTGGTCTCCTTGGAAAGAGGAGAAGGGAGAATTTCGTCCATTTCAAGCATTACTGTTTCTACCATAAACTTTTCCCCCAACCTGTTATAATTTAGAAGAGAACATGTTTCTAAAGAGCTGTAGGGCCTCTTGACATTTGACCTCAAAATCTACATATTTGGGAATAAGTCTAATGAAACGCTTCATGATTTTTTGGTATGTAAAGAACACCTGAGTCACCTTACCTTGGGTATCAGTTATGGTTTAAATTTAACTACATACTTAGCTCAGTTCATGTTAAAGCCATTTGTAGTACATGTAAAACCATGACACAGGAATCTAGACACTGTGTAATAATTTTCTTACCCCCTGTAGATGAAGGCAGCTACCTCATCATATTCTTTCACTTCTGAGAAAACGTTTTAAGCATTAACTATGTCATAATAGAGCCAGCCTGCTCAGCCAGGAAGAAAAAATTTACAAATCTAGATAATTACCCACTGAAATCCAGCAGTTAATTATAGAACTCCTGTACTTTAACCAGAATATAACTCCTAATTATCTCAAATGCCTAACTTTATACAATCAGAAACAGTTACCAGTCAAAGAGATTACACAAAACAGTAAAAATCTTAGATGGTTGTATTGTAAAAGAGAGAAAAAAATTTTAATATTGTTTAAAAATAGCATGGGGAATAGGAATATTCATGGGAGGCTGCATCAGGTCTTTATAGTCTTTAGGCTCAGTATCTTGGTGACACTCACCCTGACTGCAAACAGATTTCTTCAGAACCTTTTACAAAAATCTGTTTTAGAAATAATGCATCTGGGAGCTTAACTGGCCTTGTTTCTTTCTTTCATGTTCCAAATTGGCATTAACATTCTCTTTCTTCTTTGATTCATCCTCTTTCCTTTTTTTTTCTAAGTTTCACATAGTGATAGATTTGTTCCTTAAAAGAATATGAACCAGAAATAAGGTAGCTAAGCACTAGACTATCACTTGTGAAATAATTATTCCAATCAAGGCAAAAATGAGGATTCGCTTTGATAGACAATTGTCTTCATACTCTCAAGACTGAAGATGATGGAAAATTGTTATAATAATCATTGGCTATATTAGTTGCTTATTTGCAGTGTTTTTCCAAGTATTTGGAGTTACATGTAAGTCCTCCCAAATTGTTTGTAATAGATACAGTAGTAGCTATCTTATGTACACTTACTGTATGTCAGTCACTCTGACATATAATATTTTAAATCCTTAACTTGTAAATAGTATTCATATTCCCTGTTCTACAGTCAAAAGAAGTGAAAGACCTTTTCTGAATTCATAAGAAAAGGAAGTGCTTGAGCCAGGACTGGGAGCCATTGTGACACTAATGCCCATGCTTATTCTCTGTATCATGTTGTCATGTTCCTGTGTAATGTGAGCTGACTTTCTGGGCAAATGTTTCTATACTACTGTGTACTATAGGACACGGGTGTCTTATTGCTGAAGTTATTGCGTGTGACTTCATGGACTCCCTGACATTTTGATCAAATACAGTTCAGAGAGCAACACTGACATTTTCAAATCCAAAAACCTAAATTTCCTTCTCTCTATTCTTCTTCATCCTTTGCTTCAAGAATGCAAACCTCAAATGAATTCTCAATACCACCGGAGAATCCCGCTATGCTTCTTACAAAAATTCACTTTTTGAAAGTGAATTCTCTCTTCAAACTTCTTACTCCCCAAATTCAATCGCATTCCCCATATCACTCCCACTGATGAAAAATTGTAAAAACTGAATCCTTCCATCTATATGCATCTGTACACATTTTCTTCTTCCAGCAACAATAAGAACCTCTGTCTCTACTTTCTCACCTTCCTTTCACTTTTGAACTGACTTCAGTTTGATATCCATTCCCACTACTCCATTGAAACGAATATTGTCAATCTTTATATTGCTGAACTCTACACACAGTCTCCACTCATTGTATTTGCTATTTGGCAGCATCTGATAGAAATGACTATGCAGTCTTCTCAGCTGAGTCATGTATTCCTGCCATTCTTCCTCCCTATCCAATTGCATCAGTTTGGTTTTCCTAGCTGTATATTTTATTCTATACAAAGTCTTAATGTTGGGGTGCAGGTTCACTTAGAACTCAGAATTGGGAGGCCCACTTGTTGATTTTACTTTTTAATACTCTGTCATTCTTAGTACATTGAATCATCCATCCCTTTGGGTTTAGATGCCATTTTTATGCATCTAATTCCCAGTGGGTTTTTTTTTTTAATCTCAAGCCCATATGACTTCTCTCTAGACCTACATATCTTGCTGCCTACTTGATATTTTCATTTAGATATTTCAGACAATGATAAAAGAGGAAATAATAATTTCACACCATTTCTTTTGCCTAACAAGTAAAATGTGGAGGAGGGGTCCTTGTCTCCAGGATTCAAGGAAGGTAAGCAGGACTTTATGGAACACCAGTTCTCTGAACTGAATTTTATCGTATTTTGCTTTTCTCTTTTTTTTAAGGTTTCACTGGGAACTGAATCACTGCAGATGAAAATGGCTGTAATTGCAAAGGAAATGTAAATGAAGGACTATAATCACTCAAAGTTGAAATCTTCAGCCAAGGGTAAGCCTCTTTTACTCTGACTGCAAAACTCTACTTCTCAATTAAATTTTCATGACTTTTCCATCTTGTAGCATTTTTTATTGTAGACTAGTTACAGAAATAGCAAAAATTATGGAAACTAAAGTGAACACACCTTGTAGCCAAAGGGAAGAATTCAGTCATCTAAGAGTCAGCTGCAACACCATAACCTGCCTCCTTGGAAGGACAGTCTATGAAGAGAATCTCTGGTTCCTCCCTAGACAAGTAAGGACACAATTCTCAGACATTCCAAGGCCTTCCCACTGAAGGAGTACAGTAGGCACACATAGGTATTCTGAGTTTTCTGGATTATTTTTAGATTGGTGAGCTATGAACTACTTATTGCTGAGTTTATATTTTCCTAAGACAAACTGACAGCAGTAAGGAGACTTTTCCTTACAGGATGTGAAAATGCTTCAAAACCATTTGGCATTTTCAGTGTATTTACCAGGTACATAGGGTGGGTAGTTTAGAGTATTCTCTTCACATCTTGGGTATTGGCCTGTCCCAAAATTGGCTGGTTCATTCATATCCTTACATAAAAATAGAAACTCAATGAGTAATAATGGGCATAGTTTTCTTACTTCCCATTGAGGTAACAGAACAGATAAAGATCACTCATTCAACAGATATATTTTGATTATCTAAATGTGTGAGATGGTAAGTTAGAAGCTCTATGAGGCATGGCAATAAACAACATTGTGTCCCTGGTCTTGAGTAGCATACACTGGCAAATTAGCAACAGTTTCACAAAGCTATAAATGTCATTGCACAAGAATAGATACCACCCATTTCTGTTCTGTGAATGGCAATTCAAATTTTCCAGTGGCTATGGACATACATCATTTTTAATTTCTTTTTCTTGAAGCTCACCATCTAATCTGTCAACCAATCCTGTTAATTCTATATTTAAAATACATGCAGAATCTGACCACATGTCATTCACTCTGTTGCCACTATCTCAGGCCACCACCATTTTCTTTTGCCTGGACTGTTGTAATAGCATCTACTTAATTTGCCTCTCTTTTCAATAGGGACCTGAAATGGATTTATCTGGAAGCTAATAAAGTTGAAGTTTCATGACTGCTTTTTGCGTGACCTCCTCCATAATTGTATGCCTAATTTTCCATTTGTAATTTTTAAATATTTTTTCTTAAACAGAGTTGTTCAAATTGTAGAAAGCTTTAACAAAACCTGGATTCACCTCTGTCTTCACACTGTTTTTGCTCCCTATAGTCTATTCTCAATATAGCAACCAGAGCGATCCTTTTAAAACTTTTGCTTAAAACCCACCAGTGGTTTTCTATTTCACTCAGAGCAAAAGCCAAAGATCTTGCAATGGTCTGCAATGCTGCCTCTATATCTCTGTGACCTTTTCCTCTACGGTTGTCACCCCTGAGTACTCTGCTGTAGCTCTACTGGCTTTCTTGCCATTCCTAGAAAATGCCAGGCATGTTCTGCTTTGAATTTTTGTATTTGCTCTTTCCTTTCGTGAATACTCTTCCCTCAAATATATCCATGGTCCAGCCTCTGGCCTTTGTTACCAATTATCACCTTCTCTGACCACCCTATTTAAATTTCAATCTTGTTTAAGTTTTCAAACTTCCTACTCCACCTCCTAGATAATTTTTCTTTTTGGCAGTTACAATCATCCAACGTACTCTATGTTTTACTTACTTATTTTGTTTATTTTCTATATCTCCAACTAAAATGTCAGCTCCATGAAGGTAAGAGTTTTTCTAAGTGTATCCCTAATGCCTCCTGGCACAGAGTAGGTGCTCAATAAATACTTATTTGTTGTACTAAAAGAAAAGAGGAGTTACTTCTAGTAAGAGTGCCAGTGAAGGCTCCGTGGCGAAGTTGGTATGGAGGCTGCATGTTGACGGGCTCATAGAAGTTGAAGTGTTAGGAGGGAAAAAAAGCTGAAAAAAGACAAGTGGATGAACACTCCACTTTTTCACCAAGGACAAATATTTTTAAATAATAAGGTTAGACTTACAATCCAGATCCTATCATAATCAAGGATGTTCTTAAATTCCTTGTACATCTGGATCCACCAATCTACTGTTTGGGGTTTGGTGTAGTCTGAAAACACTGATCCTCCTGGAGACCAGTCCTACAATAGATAAGTAAGTCAAACTAAATAATGCAACCCAGCTAATATGGTATAGAAATCTCTGTAGTTGGGTTTCATTTTGCATTTTGAGCCATACAAACAAAAATTGAGAGCTAGTAAAATTAAATAACTTTACCAAGTACATAGTATAAGCATATAGCAAGTTCATTGTTGAATGGGAATAGAATCCCAGTCCAGTGTTCTTTCAGCCATGAAATTGTACATGAAATAATATTTTTATTATGCTGCTATAATTTCAGCAATTTTTCTCCACATATAAATCTATATTAATACAAATATGAGGATTAGGAAATGTAAAAATTACATTTATAATAACAACAAAACTGTAATATAGCCACGATGTCAACAAGAGCCTTAAGAATAATGAAAACTATAGAATGTTCTTGAAGTATACCAAAGATGACATACGAGTTAAGAGATAAGGAATGAACAGAAAGACTGTGGATGGAAAGACTCAACGTTGTATAAATGTCAAGTTGCTCCAAATTGATTTATAAATTCAAACTATTTCTAACCCAAATTCCAAAGGTATGTTTTGTAACTTGATTCTGTAATCATTTGGAAGTATAAGTGAATGGTACTGGCTACAAATTATAGAAAAATAAGAAGTCTACAAAAACTTACCATAAGCTCGTATTAAGTAAAACAAAACTGAATATAGGAATGGATAAACAGAGCAATGCAACAAAACTGAGATAAGATACAGATAGACATCTATATGGAAATTTGCTCTATGATAAAGATGATATCTCAAAGTATGCAGAAATGTGGAATTATTTAATAGGTGACATTTGGTCTATTATCTATCCACTTGGAAAAAAATTAAGTCATGTTCCAGCTACGGATTGAGTTGTGTTTATCCAAAATGCCTATGTCAAAGCCCTAAGCCTCATTATGATGGTATTTAGAGATGGGGCCTTTGGGAGGTGGTTAGGTTTAGATGAGATCATGAGGGTGAGCCTCTCATAAGATTAGTACCCCTATTAAAAACTTTTCTTGTCTGTCACTCTCTCTCTCTCTTTCTCTCTTTGCCTTGTGAGGACATAATGAGAAGGTGGCTGTCTTCAAGCCAGGAAGAGAGCTCAAACCAGAAACCAGACCCTGCCAAAACCTTGGTCTTGGACTTTCTAGCCACCAGAACTGTAGGATATCAAGTTTTGCTGTTTATGTCACTCAGTTTTTGTTATGGTGGCTCAAGCACATTAAGACAAACATTGTACACAAAATTAAAGCAGATTCATAATTTAAGTGTTTAGAAAACTTAAAAATTCTCTAAGAATATATGGATTCTACTTTTACAAATTTTAGTGAAGGAAAGCCCTTTGAATCATGATACCAAAGGCAGAAACCACTATGAAAAAAAGTAGATTTGGCTATGAAAAAGTTTAAAACTATTTAGCAAAAGACAGAATAAACTGTTTAAAAAAACAGAATTAATATTTTACAAGCCAATAAGAAAAAGAAAGAATTCCCCAGTAGGAAAATGACAAAAAGAGTAGTGATTTTTTACAATGAAATAGAAGAGGCAAGAAATATTATGAAAAAGATGCTTAACCTCACTCGTAATAGAAAAACTGTAATTAATACAAGAAAATACCTTTCACCTTTTTGGTTGCCCTGTGTTGGTGAATGAGTAAAGAGGCTTGTTTGGTAAGAGTTCAAATTGGTATATTTTGAGGACATTGAAAAATATCTTTATAGATTTGGGATGTATATTTTTAAATATAATTATTCCATTTTAAAAATATATGCAAAAAATGAGACAAGAATATATACAATAATCTGTAATAAAGTGTTTACTGCAACATTCGTATTAATAGTATAATATTAAGATACTAGAAACAAGAAAATGTCCATCACTAGGGACTGGTTAAACTAGTTTTCTTACCTGGGAACAATGGAATGTCATGTAACTATTTAAAAAGATGAGATAGCTTTATATGTGTTAACATGAAAATATATATACATAACATTGTCATTGTTTTTAAAGGTTTTAAATGACATATAGTTTATTTCTCATTTAAAAATATAATCACATATATTTAAAATTTGGGAGGAATACTCACCAAAATGATAACAGTGATATTTTAGGGAATTGAAGATAAAGAAGAACTGTCACTTTCTACTTCATAAAAATCAGTATTACACAATATTTTTTACAATGTTGTACTACTTTGATAAACAAGCAAAAGCATTAAGGATATTTCTATTGTGCAAAAGAAAAAGTTAAAAACTTCTTTTTGCTTAAAAAATATTTTATATATCTCATTACTCAATCTACAAAAACCTAAATTTCCAATATAATATCAATCAACATTTTCTATAATTTTACCATAATTATAAAAGATTGCCTTTTCAAAAGATGTCACACAGTATACTAATATTTCTTTTGAATTTCTTGGCAATACTCTGGGATTTAAATGATTTCTTAAAACGTCTTATTATGTAGGCCAATGCTCCAAACACTCAGGAGTTAACACAGCTGGAGAAGCTGAATACAATTTTCTTGAACTGAACTCAGGCAGTATCAGTTCACTGAGGCCCTGTGAATTGCACTTGTTTATCAAATATTCAATACAGAAAGGAGGTTGTCATTTATTCTTTAACATGCTTACCTTGCTAATAGCTGGCGTGACTCCATCAGAGTTATTGACCGAAATTCCCATTTCCTATCCAAGCTCACAGGGCTTATAAGTGCCTTGGTGGTTCATCTTTGGTCAAAAAGGGATCCTACAAATTCCCAAGAACGTTGTCACTGGTAAGAGTCTGTCTGGTGATTGATATTTAAGTGTAAACATTACAAAAATGTTTGAAATAAGAATCTCCAATATTCATATAAACAATGTTTAATATTGTACACTTTAAAATCTTCCCACCTATTAAGTACAGTTACAAATATAAGAATTATTTCTATGAATTTTTTAGTGTTGCAAAATGTGGACCCAAGCAATGTTAATTTAGCAGTGGAATCAGTTGCTTCTAATTAAAATATCCAATTTTCTTTACTAAAAGGATATAGGAGCAAGAGGCAGAGCAAGATGGCTAAATAGAAAGCTTGAAGGATTATCCTCCCCTCAGGAACACCAAATTGAACAACCATCCACACAAAAAAGCACCTTCGTAAGAACCAAAAATCGGGTAAGTGATGGCAGCACTTGGTTATAACTTCATATTACAAAAAGAGGCACTGAAGAGGGTAGGAAAGACAGTCTTGAATTGCTAACACCAACCCTCCCCCATCCCCCAGCAGCGACCTCCTGGCACAGAGAGAGAATATGTGGGACTTTGCATTGGAACTCAGTGCTGCCCTGTCACAGTGGAAAGCAACACTGGACAGAACTCAGCTGAAACCCACGGAGGGAGGATTTAGACCAGCCCTAGCCAGAATCATCCATCCCAGCCATTGGTACCTGAATTCTAGCAAACCTCAGCCCTGCAGGCTAAAGTGCTCTGGGGTCCTAAACAAACCGAAAAGGCGGTCTAGGTCACAAGGACTGCAATTCTTAGGCTCAGAACCAGCAGTTTTGGGGAACATTCAGACTAGTAAGATACCAGTTAGGGTGGTCAAGAAAGTGCTTGCATCACATGTCCCTCAACCCCAGGCAGTGCAGCTCACAGTTCCAAGAAAGGCTCCTTCTCCCTGCTTGAGGAGAGGAGAGGAAAGAGTAAAGAGAACATTGTCTTTGCAACTTGGATATCAGCTCAACCACAGTAGAATAGGGCACTGGACAGATTTCTGGGGCACCCATTCCAGGCCCTAGCTCCCAGACATTTCTAGACACACCCGGGGCCTGAAGGGAATCCATTGCCTTGAAGGGGAGGACTCACTCCAGGAAGGATTCATCACCTTTTGACTAAAGAGTGCTTGGCCCTGAATTATCAGAAGTGGTGCCAAGGCAGTATTTGCCATGGGACTTGGGTGAGACTCGGAGATGTGCTGGCTTCTGGTGTGACCCTGGACATTCCCAGCTTGCTGGCTATGGTGACAGACTGCTTTTGAGAAAAAGAGAGGGAAGTGTAAAAGAGACTTTGTCTTACAGCTTAGGTACTAGCTCTGCTACAGTGGGATAGAGCACCAAGTGGGTTCTTAAGGCCCCCAATTCTAGACTTTGGCTCTTGAGCAGCACTTCTGGACCTGCCCTGGGCAAAAGAGGAGCAACTTCACTTGAGGAAAGGTCCCAGGCCTGGCAGCATTTACCACAAGTTGACTGAAGAGCCCTCAGGCCTTGATTGAACATCAGTAGTACCCAGGCTATACTCACTGTGGGCCTGGGGTGGTGATGGTCACTAGGAGAGAGACTCCTCTGTTTGAGGAAAGGGAAGAGTAGCAAGGACTTTGTCTTATGGCTGGAGTGCCAGTTCAGCCACAGTAGAATGGAGCACCAGGTATATTCCTAAAGTTGCCGACTCCAGGCCCTGGCTCCCAGAGGGCATCTCTGGACACATCCAGAGCTGGGAGAAGCTCACCACCCTGAAGGGAAGAACATAAGCCTATCTGGCTTTGACACCTGCTAACTGTAGAACCCTAGGGTGTTGAGTGAACATTGGTGGTAGCTAGGTGGTGGTTACAGCAGGCATTGGGCAAGACCCAGCACCATGCTGGCTTTAGGTCTGAGCCAGCACGGTCCTAGTGATGGTGGCCACAGGGGGCTTGCGTCACTCCTCCTTCAGCTCCAGGCAGCTCAGCAGAGAGAGGGAAGGAGGGAAGGGAGGGAGGAAGCAGGGGGCAGAGATTGGGAAAAAGTAAGGAAAAAGAACAAGAGTCTTTGCCTGGTAATCCAAAGAATTCTTCTGGATCTTATCCTAGACAATCAAGGTGGTACTTTTATGAGTCAGCAAGAGCCACAGTGTTACTGGGCTTGGGGTGCCCCCTAATGCAGATTTGGCTGCAGAGATTAAAACTGTAAATTACAACACCCAAGTCCCTTAAAATGCCTGGAAATCCTTCGCAGGAAGAATGAGTACAAAACAGCTCAAACTGTGAAGACTATAATAAACCTAACTCTTCAATGCCCTGACACTGACAAACATCCACAAGCATCAAGATCATCCATAACCTCACAAAAAGAACAAAATAAGCTACCAATGACAAATCCTGGAAAGACAGAGACACATGAGTTTTCAGACGGAAAATTCAAAATAGCTGTTTTGAGGGAACTTGGGGACACTCAAGATAATACAGAGAAGGAATTAAGAGTCCTACCAGACAAATTTTAAAAAGAGATAGAAATCATTAAGAAGAAAAAATTCTGGAGTTAAACAATGTAATTGACACACTGAAGAATGCATCAGTCTCCTAACAGCAGAATTGATTAAGTAGAATAAAGAATTAGTGATCTTGAAGACAGGGTATTTGAAAATAGACAGTCAGAGGAGACAAAAGGAGAAAGAATGAAGCATGCATACAGGATCTAGAAAACAGCCTTTAAAGGTCAAATCTAACTGAATGGCCTAAGGAGAAGATAGAGAGAGAGATGGGGTAGAAAGTTTATTCAATTGGATAATAACAGAGAACATCCCAATCTTAGAGAAAGATATCAATATTCAAGTATAAGAAGGTTATAGAACACCAAACAGATTTAATCCACATAAGACTACCTCAAGACATTCAATAATCAAACTCTCAAAGGTCAAGGATAAAGAAAAAATCCTAAAAGCAGCAAGGGAAAAGAAAAAAATAACATACAATGCAGCTCCAATAAGTCTGCCAGCAGGCTCATCAGTGGAAACCTTACAGGCCAGAAGAGAGTGGCATGACATATTTAAAGTGCTGAAGGAAAAGAAAAAAACTTTTATTCTAGAATAGTATATTCAGTGAAAATATCCTTCAGATATAAAGGATAAAGACTTTCCCAGACAAACAAAAGATGAGGAATTTCATAACACCAGACCTGTCCTACAAGAAATGCTAAAGGGAGTTCTTCAATCTGAAAGAAAAGGATGCAAATGAGCCATAAGAAATCATCTGAAGGTACAAAACTCACTGGTAATAATAAGTACACAGAAAAACACAGAATACTGTAACACTGTAAAAGTGGTGTATAAACTACTCAAGTAGAAAGATGAAAGGCGAACCAATAAAAAATAACTACTATGACAACTTTTCAAGACATAGTACAATAAGATATAAATAGAAACGAGAAAAAGTTAAAACAGAGGGGGAAGAAGTTAAAGTGTAGATTTTTTACTAGTTTTCCCTTTGCTTGATTTTCTGTGCAATCACTGTCAAGTGGTCATCTGTTTGAAAAAATGGGTTATAAGATATTATTTGAAAGCTTCTTGCCAAGTTCAGCTCAAAAATATATACAACAGATATACTAAAAATAAAAAGCAAGACATTAAAACATACCACCAGAGAAAATTACATTCACTAAAAGGAAGACAGGAAGGAAGGAAAGGAGAGAAGACAACAGAACAACTGGAAAACAACAAAATGACAGAAGTAAGTCATTACTTATCAATAATAATATTGAATGTAAATGGATGAAGCTGTCCAATCAAAAGACATAGAGTGGCTGAATGGATTAAAGAAAAAAACCAACAATCTCTTGCCTACAAGAAAAAGGTTTCAATTATAAAGAAACTAATAAAGTGAAAAGAAAGAAATAGAAAAAGAGTCCATGCAAATGGAAACAAGAAAAAAGCAGGAGTAGCTATACCTATATCAGACAAAATAGATTTCAAGGCAAAAACTATAAAAGACAAAGAAGATGATTGTATCATGATAAAGGGTTTATTCAGAAAGAGTACACAACAATTACAAATGTATAGGTACCCAACACTGCAGCACCCAGACTTACACAGCAAATATTATTAGAGCTAAAGGGGGAGTAGACCCCAATACAATAAAAGCTGGAGACTTCAACACCTAGTACTGGAAGTCCTAGCTAGAGCAATCAGAAAAGAGAAAGAAATATACATTGGAAAGGAAGAAGTCAAATTTCCCTTGTTTGCAGATGATATAATCTTGTATTTGGAACAACCTAAAGACTCCAACCAAAATCTGTTAGAACTGATACAAAAGTTCAGTAAATCTGCAGGATACAAAATCAACATACAAAAATCAGTGGCATGTCTGTATACCAACAGCTAACAATCTGAAAAAGAAATCAAGGAAGCAATCCCATCTGCAGTAGCCACAAATAAAATAAAATACCTAGGAAATAAGTTACCCAATGAAACGAAAGGGCTCTACAGTGAAAACTATAAAACATTGATGAAAGAAATTGAAGCGGATACAAAAGAATGGAAAGATATTCTATGTTCATGGAATAGAAAAATGAATATTGTTTAAATGTCCATACTACCAAAAGCATCCTACAGTTTCAATGGAATCTCTATCATAATACCAATGAGATTCTTCATAGAAATAGAAAAAACAATCCTAAAACTTATATGGAACCACAAAAGACACAAAATAGCCAAAGCTATTCTGAGCAAAAAGAACAAAACTGGAGGAATCACATTACCTGACTTCAAAGTATGCTACTGAGACATCATAATCAAAACAGCATGGTACTGTCATAAACACAGACATATTGACCACTGGGACAGACTAGAGAACCCAGAAACAAATCTATACATCTACAGTGAACTCATTTTTGACAAAGGTGCCAAGAACATATGTTGGGAAAAAGACTGTCTCTTCAATCAATAGTGCTGGGAAAACTGGATATCTATATGTAGAAGAATGAAACTAGAGCCTTATTTCATGCCATATACAAAAATCAAGCTGAATTGGATTAAATATTTTAACCTATGACCTGAAGCTCTGAAACTACTAGAAGAAAGCATTGGGGAAACTCTCCAAGACATTGGAGTAGGTGAAGGTTTCTTCAGTGATATCCCACAAATATAGGCAACCAAAGCAAAAATGGACCAATAGGATCTCATCTAGTTTAAAAGGTTCTGCAGAGCAAAGGAAACAATCAACAAAGTAAAGAGACAACCCACAGAATGGGAGAAAACATTTGCAAACTACCCATCTGACAAGGGATTAATAACCAGCATATATAAGGAGCTCAAACAACTCTATAGGAAAAATCAAACTAGAAATAGGCAAAAGATCTGAATGAACATTTCTCAAAAGAAGATATACAAATGGCAAACAAGTATATGAAAAGGTGCATACTATTGATCATCAGAGAAATGCAAATCAAAACTACAATGAGATATCATCTCGCCCCAGTTAAAAAGGCTTATATCCAAAAGACAGGCAATAACAAATGCTGGTAAGGATGTGGAGAAACAGGAACCCTCATACACAGTTGGTGGGAATGTATATTAGTACAACCACTATGGAGAATCAGTTAGTTTCCTCAAAAAACTAAAATAGAGCTACCATATGATCCAGCAATCCCACTGCTGTGTACACACCCAAAAGAAAGGAAATCAGTGTGTTGAAGAGATATCTGCAATCTCTTCAATATGATAGCACTATTCACAATAGCCAAGATATGGAAGCAGCCTAAGTATTCATCAACAAATGAACAGATAATGAAAATGTAGTACTTAGATGCAATGAAGATGGAGTACTATTCAGCCATAAAAAAGAACGAGATCCTGTCATTTGCAGCAACATGGATAAAACTGGAGATCATTATGTTAAGAGAAATAAGCCAGGCACAGAAAGATGAAGATCACATGTTGCCACTTATTTGTGGGTTCTAAACATTAAAACAATTCAACTCATAGAGATAAAAATAGAAGAAAGGTTATCAGAGGCTGGGGTGCATAGTATGGGGTGGGGGGAAGTGGGGATGCTTAATGGACACAAAAAAAATAGAAAGAATAAAGAATAGTATTTGATAATACAATAGGGTAACTGCGGTCAATAATAATTTAATTGTGCATTCAAAAATAATTTAAAGAGCATAATGGGATTGTTTGTAACACAAAGGATAAATGCTTGAGGTGATGGGTTCCTCATTTAGCCTAAAGTGATTATTACACATAGCACGCCTGTATCAAAGGTACATTATGCATGTACCTCATAAATACATGCACCTACTATGTACCCACACAAATTTTATATAAAAATTTTTGAAAGTTATACGAATAGATAAAGGAAATACTCTTGCTATTTTGGTATGCAACCTTACCTGGTTTTGTGTTTGTTGCTTCTTTGAGATAAAGCTGTGAAATGGTGGAAAAAACCTCGATGGTGAAATCAATATGTTAATTTTCTTTTAGCAAGAGCACTGAGTTTTAAAAACTAAACTGAATTCCTTCATCACTTGATGACATTTCTATGTCATTAAATAACATAAAATGTACTTATAATCTATCATCCTTTAATGAAACATAACATTTATCATTAAATATTATAAAATTTTATTCCTCAAGATTATACTAGTGTTGGGACTTCTACTTTTTGATAAATTAATTATAATATATATATATATTTAGAAATGCTTAGAAAATATAAATTAAAATATTGTGTTTGATCTTCAAAAGAAATTTACCAAAACAATGATATATTGCATTCCATCATTTTCAGTTCCTTAATGTACTCAGGCAGACCATCAAATTTGTCCTCATCATATATGAAGTCCATCTGACGTTCCATGCAGTCGATATCACAATACTGAACATCCTGTACCAAGGAGCAACACAGATATAAGATTCCAACATCAGGAAAACAGACAAACAGATATTGTTGCAGATTCACAAGTAGCTTATAAGTGACTGCATTCAATTAGAAATTTAAATATTAGTGTGAGTTTTGGGTTATCTTGTAAGAAAAAGAGAATGAAAATGATTATTTTATTGGAACTGAGAAGATAATATATGAAAATGATTACAGTTACACGTCTCTCTCTCTTATACACACACACATCCACATCCACACACATATATATTACAGGATAATTACTATACTTTCTGATTTCCTTGTTCCTCTCAATGCCCTCCATACTGTTTGAGTACATTTATATGGGGAATATCATATTGTCTTAAATGTCCAACTGTGGTTTTCAGCATATCTAGGCTATTGTAACCCCATCGACACAGCTGAAATCCCAGAGACCAGTATGGAGGCAAATAGGGATGCCCAATGGCCTGTGAAAAAATGTATTAAATCCAGAAAAGTTAAAGTGTTGACAAATGTTTATGTTTAGGACTGGATAACATAATGCTTTAGTCAGCAAGCAGTTTAAATTTTTCGTACTGTATTGAGACTCTAACATTGTAAGTTGCCATAGTAGCAACCAAAGAGACAATGATTAAAATTTGGGGGCTCAAGAACTCCTTTGAGAATCTAATAAAATTCATGGAATTTCTTCCTAAGTCTATATAGCTACAAAGACAATTCTTCTTTCAGTTTTGTGAGTGGGGGATTATGCTCTGCCTCTGTCCTCCGTTAATTTATTCTAGCAGAAAATTATATAATAGAGTTTTAAACGGCTCCTAAATCAGAAAAACTTGGGTTCGCATCTCAGTTCTGCCTTTTAATATCTGTGACATTAGGAAAAAGTATTTAATTTTTACAGTCTTGGTTTTCTCATTTTTAAAACGGAAGAAAAAGTAATGACCAATTCCTTCATTTGCAAGTATTTATTGAATACCCACTATGCACCATCTTAGAACCAAGTTTCTGACTCATGGTGCTTAAATTCTAGTAGAGAAAAGAAATAATAAACATGTAAACAAAGTCAACTAATTTTTAAAAGGAGACTGTATGGAGGCCGGGCTCGGTGGCTCACGCCTGTAATCCCAGCACTTTGGGAGGCCCAGGCGGGCAGATCACGAGGTCAGGAGATCGAGACCATCCTGGCTAACACGGTGAAACCCTGTCTCTAATAAAAATACAAAAAAAAAATTAGCCAGGCCTGGTGGCAGGCGCCTGTAGTCCCAGCTACTCGGGAGGCTTGAGGCAGGAGAATGGCGTGAACCCGGGAGGCGAAGCTTGCAGTGAGCCAAGATCGCACCACTGCACTCCAGCCTGGGCGACAGAGGCAGACTCTGTCTCAAAAAAATAAAAATAAAAAAATAAAATTAAAAAAAAAAATAGAGTGTATGGAGGTTGTGGGGATGGAAAGTTTTACAGGGAAGCAGAAGAGAGATGGGGAAAAGTTAGGGGAATTGTCTCTGGCATAAGACCTAAATAAGCCAGTTCTGTGAAGCGTCCCAGGCAGAGGGATCAAAAGGTGCAAAGGCTTGAAGTGTTCAGAAAAAGAAAGTAGGTGAATGTGGCTCGACTATAGCCAACCAAAGAGAGAGTGAAAGGAAAGGCCAGGGAAGCAGCCAGACATTCACTCCTATAGGGCCATGGCAAAGGGCTGAAACTTTACCTGTCCTCCTTCAACTTTATATGAATTAATGAAAATCGTTAAACATATATAAAAGTAGAACAAAATTAACTACAATCCCTTAAAATTCTCAAATACTCATTCAAATTTCCCTAATTCTCTCAAAAAAAAAGTCTTTTTAGAGTTGATTTGTTTAAAGGAGATGGATTATATTAAAATTGCAATTGAAGCCATTAAAGTGAGCAACATAATCTGATTTTTTAAAATCACTCCGACAAATCTGTCAAATAAATTACAGGAAGGCAAAGGCAGTAGCAATGAAACCATTTAGGTGCCTGATGCACTGTTGAGGCAGAGATGAAAGTAGCTTGAACAAAAGAGGTAACCTGATGATGTCAAAAAGTGGTCAGAGTGAAATACATTTTGGATATCTTGCCAACAGAACTTCCTGACAGATCTGATGTGGTAGAATGAAGAATGGAATGAAGGCTGGTATTTAGGTTTTAGAGTTGAAAAGCAGGGACAATTAATTTTATTTATTGAGTTGGGTAAGATTGAAGGAGGAGCAAGAGCAGGTTTGTGCAGAGAGAGTTCAGGGGATAAGAAAGATGGATATATACACCTGCTGGTTATCCCTTAGTAGACTAAATATGTTAATATCTAAATGTGTTAATAGTTTATCCCTTGACAGACTACAAGTTGTGGAACCAGAAGAGATGACAAGAGTTCTGATAGAGGCCAAAGGAGGGCCTAGGAGTAACTTCCGGGAGGCTCAACATTTGAGGACATGATCAAAGGAGACTAAAAACAAGTAATTGGTTATGTAACAGGATAACCAAGACAATGTGGTAGATACCAAAGGAAGAGAAGAGAATGTTTCCAGAAGTGGCTGCCTGTGTTCAAATACCATCTGGAGGCTGACTTAGAGGAGAACAGAGACTTGACCACCATGTCTTCTGATTTGATAAGACATTTACAGGGAGTGTATATATGTGTATATGTAGTTTAAGGACAAAAAGACATTTTCAGAGAATATATAGATAAAATTAATGACTCAATTGGAATGTGGTAAGGTGAGGAAGTAGAGACAGCCCATACAGATACTTTGAAGAAGTTTTACAGAGAAGAAGGGAGATGAGATTAAGAGCTGGAGGACACTGTAGGTTCCTTGGATGATAGTCTTGTTTAGTTTTTCTCAGGTAGGTGCCATTAGTGCATATTTGTTGATGGGAAAGATCTGGCAGGCAGGGATAAATGGATGATGCAGGTGAGAGCAGAGACAATTGTAGAAGTGCTTTGATAGCTGAAAACACACGTAGATGTAGAACACAGAAGGAATTAGACTTAGATATGAGCAGGAACAACTATAACAGGAAGAAAGGCAAAACATATGGGTAGGTATGATGGTAAACTGATAAATCTGATGTTTGAAAAACAATGGGATTCATTGTTAATTGCTTCTGATTTTCTCAGTAAAATAAGCAATGTCAGCAACTGATAGTTGACTGGAGGTGATGTTGGAGGTTTTGGAAAGAGTGTGAAATAATAGTTTCTGCAAGTAGGATTTTAAATCACTAAACCAGCACATTTAGTAAGGTTACCAGTCAGTGACATGTGCTTGTGATTAAATTAAAGAAAAACTGGCCAACACAAGCAAGTGATTTTTTTGCCAGAAGCTTTCAGCTGCTCAGGTGCAGGAACTGATTTGATCAATCAATTAGCTCAAAGTTCCTGTCTTCTCTGCTGTATACAGAGTTGACGTCAAAAGCCATGAACAAATCTGCTTTTCAGGTTTATAGTTTTACTTCAAATTTTCTGCTTACAATCCCCTTTACAATGAATATTGTAACTTGCCTCTCTGACATATCATAATGTCTAACACAAAATATGAATGCTGTGTTTATGATATAAATGAATAAAGAGCAGATGATATTATCCATGTTTCATAGATAGGTAGGCTAGAAGTATATTTTGAGACTTACCTGATTTCATAGTATATGAAAGAATAAAACCAGAACTGATTAGATAAAATCATGTAGGGAGCAGTTAAAACTATGCACTTCTCCAGGGCCCACTATGGAAGAATTCAATCAGGATTTCTAAGGATTGAACACAGGCATCTGTATTTTTAAAGGCCTCTGGGTGATTGGTACAGAATGAGGTTTGAGAATTACTACACTCTATTGTGAGTTGTGGGGAACAGGGACTATGCTTATGCACTGTAACTCCATCTCCAGACCCAAGCTTGTCTTTAGTTCTCACCAAATACCTTTTTGACTGAATCTCCTAATCCTTAACCAACTGATTCTTGTACCACTACATTTAATGTTAGTCTCAGCTGCTATCTTTTAAATCCATTTTCTTTCATTATCACCTTGTAATAAGTGATGAGTGTTTTATCTCCACCTTTTCAATGGCACAGCAAACACCTCCCCTAAAAGACAGCTAAAGAAACTAAAGGAGAAGGAGGTAGCTGGGATACAAGGCCTGACAACAAGAAAATATGCTTTAAGGATGACAAACAACAGCCATGCAAAACATGGACTTCAGACTGGTGGTGAGGCTCAAATAAAAAGGAAGAAAAACAGCATACTGACAGTATAAAGCTGTACAGAACATCTAAGGAAATGTGGATTTTATTGTTCCACAGTAGCTAAAATTATGTGTACCAGCCTCCCTGTCCCATAAGTTCTAATATATGTCAAGAAACATCCTTCATATTAAACTAAGGATTAGAGCAGCCACACTACTATGTACTTTTCCAGAATTCTCTAGACAACGTGAAAGTTTTCAGAATCAAAATGGAGTCACTTGGGTTTAAAACACTGACAAATAGAGCCAGGAAGACTATGAAGGGTGGATTCTCATATACAAATGCCTGATAACAAGAACTATCACAAAAGACTCGCAAAAACCACAACCTCGCACAAACGCCATCACAACCTTATGCAAAAAAATTATTTCTAGGAGGACATCTTCCCAAAAACTGCCTGTCAAACCTCTAAATGGCACCACCCTTGTTATTGCTCCTTGTAGTCAAGAACAATTGACTACAAAGTCAAAATAATTATGTAATCCTCCTCATTTAAAGAAAAAAAAAAACCTTTGGTCTTCTTTTATCTCCCTGAAGATGCACATAGTTTACTACGGCACACATACTCCTATTGCAATGCCATAGACCCAAATAAACATCATTTTCTTTTAGAGCCTCTCTGTTTGTTATTTAGATTGACAACCTCTAGGGCCTGCAATTTGAAGCATGCCATCATAATCAACATTATTATAAATAATTTTTTTTTACTTGGCATATAATATATAAAGAATACTAAAGAAAATGACTATATCCATTAGCCATATGCAATAAATGTTGACCTAACAAATGGCAGCCCTAAAATTTTTCAAAATTTACTTCAAGGCATATTCTAGCTCTTTGGTTCTATTATTTTTCTTCATTGGTAGTTTGGTAATAGAGAAAGTAGTGGCATCTCTATTATCAAATAACGTAATGAAACATTATACATTACACATACTTGTATATAATGTTTCATTATGATATTTAATCTTTCCAACAATACTATATAGCAAATAGAACAAATGCTATCATCCCTGTTTTATTGTGGATAAATCTGTAGTCCAAGATCATAAGTACCAAGCTAAAGAAAATAGCGGGTGGCAAAACTATAGCTCAAACAGATCTTCTGACTCCAAGTCTAATAAATTTCAATACCATTGAAGTCATTCTATATTTTCTAATATTTCTTTATTTATATCTGATGAGAAGTCCTGATAAAGTAAGGGATAAAATCATCTCCTTTATCATCACCTCCCTTATGCTGTATGGTCTCATACTCTCAGAATGCCTGCATATAAGAATAAGGTTTATTCAATCTATTTTTATCCTAAAAATTCTACATTTGTTTTCCAAGAGTAGAATGGCTTTCCTAAAATAGATATTGTTGACAGAGAGAAGAGGGATTTAAGTTCATCCTCATGTCTGAAAAGACCACACAAGCACAATATTTCTTCAGCAGGCAGATGAAGCAAACCCGCTGAGGATTACAAATTACCACTTTCACCCATTTTATAGGATAGAGCCAGAATAAATTTCCTTGCCCTTATTACTTCCTGCTACAAATAATTACAATTCCTGCAGCCAGAGGAGTGAAGGAAAGTCAGTCTTACCTATGAACATTTTATACATTTCCCCTAATTGCATTTGCTTATTATTTGGCTTCAGGACCTCGACCATCTGCAAATAAAGCAGGTTTGTACAGGAATGACGAGGATAAGAAAAGTGTGTCTCAAAAGAGGCGTTTTCTCCTGCTGCACCACTTACCAGGTGCTTTTCTCTGCTGCCCACTGGCTTCAAAACAAGTCAGCCCTGAAGCAAATGAGTGACAGCAGAAAGCTCATTTCAGCACTAGGGATTTAAAATTCATAAACTTGAAAAATCAATAAGGTATCCTTAGAATCTCTATATTCACCTTTTGATCAAGTACTGTCAGGAATTTCATTTAACCAAAATAGGGTCAAAGCTATCAATCACTGTTTTACAAATAAAAGCCAAAAAATATTTAAAAAAATAATGGTGAACATTTTATTAATAATAACTATGGTTATAATTTTTTAGTGGTTACTATGTCCCAGGCACTATGCTAACAGCTAGATGAAAGAATGTATGTAATACATTATCACAGCTAACCTCCAAGCAACCCTAAGATTTAGGTATTGTCTTCATTTTGTATATGAGAAAGTGGTGGTTTAGCATCTTACAAGTGTTAGCACTCACATTTCTCCAAGTGTCAGATTTCAAAGATCTCACTCTTATTCTTCATTATATTATCCAGGCATAGTTTGTGTTATTGTGCATTACATTATTGCCCTTCCCAGATACTGCATTTGTACAAATTGAAGGTTTATGGTAACTTTGCATCAGGTAAGTCTATTTGTGCCTTTTTTCCAAAGGCATATGCTCATTTTGTGTCTCTGTTTCAGCATTTTGTAGCAATAAAGTATTTTTAAATTATGGTATGCACATTGGTTTTTTAGACATATGCTATTACACACTTAATAGTAAACTGTAAGCATAACCTGTATATGCACTGGGAAACCAAAAACAGTGTGACTCAATTTATTGCAATATTTGTTTTATTTCAGTGGTGTGGAACAGAACCAGAAATAACTCTGAGGTGTGCCTGCTCTGCATAATAACAAGCAATATATGTGTGATTTATATTGACATATGGTTTACTGATTATTATTTTTAAGAGGCAATATTTTGTTTGGCAAAAGTTAGTGTCATTTCCCACTTTGTGTTATTTACAGTTCTAAAGATTGATTTTTTAAATCAGGTTTTAAAAGATCATTTGCAAGAAGCTTGAGGTAGATTGGGGCATTTTACATTTCTTTTAATCTCTGAAGGTTTAAAGGAAGTACAGTCTTGTACCACATAATGACATTTTAGCCACTGATGGACCACACAGACAATGATGGTCCCATAAGATTATAACGGTGCTGAAATATTACTATTGCCTAAGGACGCTGTAGCTGTCCTAACATCATAGCAACACACATTACTCACTTGTTTGCTGTGATGCTGGTGTGAACAAACCTACTGTGCTGTCCATCATATAAAGGGATAGCACATACAATTATGTACATAATACTTGATAATGGTAATAAATGGCTGTTACTCATTTATATATTTTATATGCTACACTTTTTGTGGTTATTTTAGAGTGTACTCCTTCTACTTACAAAAAAAAATGTTCACTGTAAACAGCCTCAGACAGGTCCTTTAGGGGGTATTCCAGAAAAAAAAGCATTGTTCTCATAGGAGATGACAGCTCTAGGCATGTTATTTCCCCTGAAGACCTTCCTATGGGACAAGATGTGGAGGTGGAAGACAGTGATATTGATGATTGTGACTGACTGTGTAGGCCTAGGCTAGTGTGTGTGTTTGTGTCTTAGGTTTTAACAGAAAAGTGTAAAAGGTTAAAAATAAAATAAAAACTTAAAAAATAGAAAAAGGTTTACAGAATAGGATATAAGGAAAATATTTTTGTATAGCTGTTCATCGTGCTTGTGTTTTAAGCTAAGTGTTATTACAAGAGTCAAAAGGTTTTTAAAAATTTAGAAGTTTATAAGGTAAAAAATGTTACAGTAAGCTATGGTTAATTTATTCTTGAAGAAATAATTTTTAAAAATAAATTTAGTGTAGCCTTAGTGTACAGTGTTCATATATGAAGTCCACAATAGTTTGCAAAGTCCTAGGCCTTCACATTCACTTTCCACTCACTTACTGATTCACTCAGAGCAACTTCTAGTCTGGTAAACTCCATTAAGGTAAGTGCCCCATAGGATGTATCATTTTTTATCTCTTACACTGTATTTTTTTTTTTTTTTTGAGATGGAGTCTCATTCTGTCACCAGGCTGGAGTTAAGTGGCGCCATCTCGGCTCACTGCAACCCTGCTTCCTGGGTTCAAGCGATTCTCCTGCCTCAGCCTCCCTTGTGGCTGGGACTACAGGCATGCACCACCACTCCCAGCTAATTTTTGTATTTTTAGTAGAGATGGGGCTTCACCATGTTGGCCAGGATGGTCTCGATCTACTGACCTTGTGATCTGCCCGCCTTGGCCTCCCAAAGTGCTGGGATTACAGGCGTGAGCCACTGCGCTCAGCCTACACTGTATTTTTACTGAATCTTTTCTATGTTTAGATACACAAATACCACTGTGATACAATTGCCTACAGTGTTTAATACAGTTGTATGCTATACAGGTTTGTAGCCTAGAAGCAATAGTATACCATATAGCCTAGGCCTGTGGTAAGCTACACCATCTAGGTTTGTGTAAGGACACTCGATGATGTTTGCACAACAATGACATCACCGAATGATGCATTTCCCAGAGCACATCACCATCATTATGTGACATGTGATTGTATTTAAATCTCAAACCACATATGGTGCTTTTGTCATGTAACAACTTGGCTAGATAAACTACATTTCCCAGAATTCCCCATTAGACCATAATGGAGATTTTCATGGGTTAATTGGAGCGCCAAGAAGCTTACACATACGGATATGGTAAAGTCCCTGTAACAAATATATACCTCCTACTGGTTCTGCTTCTCTGATGGAACCCTGATTAATCCCATAAAATTGATTGAATACAGTGGGTTGAATTCTTTAAATTATTTATCATATATAAGAACTAGAGCTCTATTACCAGGTTCCATTTTATTCCAGTAAAGATGACTCATAGTTGGACCAAAATTTGGATGAATAAATTCAAATGGTCAATGCAGGAGAGAGATAATACAAATCTTTGTTCGATTAATTGTGTTGATTTTCTCAGATGTTAATAGGCAGCATCAAAGAGTTTAGTTATGGGTTTTTGACCAAATATTTTTTCTCAAAGGAAGAAAAATTGACCTGTTTCTTAGCATACTGAAGTTTTACATTAGCGAATTATTCTCTATAAATATATATCTGAAATGTTTTACTTTATTAAAGTATATTCTGCTTCAAATATCATTATAATTACAGACAACTGTAAGAATAAATCTAGCAACTACAGAAAAGTACTTATCTTCTAGAATGGCCAGATACTTCTCATTTACTGTTCATAAAATAATAACAGAACAATGTTTGCTCTTCAGGATTTTAGAAATCACTTTGAATAAAATTATTTTAACACTCTATTTTTCTCTTTGGGAATAATCAGAAAAAAAAAGAAAAGACAATAAAGTGGGTCTGGGGAGGGAAATACATAAATTCTGAATCCATTTTTTTTGTATGGGATTGTAAAAAACAAAGGATTTTGAATATTATTCAATATATTTCCTAATCTGGACTTATTTTGAGAAATAGCTGTTCTCAAAATAAAACAGCCATAGAAGGGAAGAGGAAACGTGCAGCCTCCACCTTCTAATCCTAGTCAGAAGGCCCTGGCCTTTCAGGAAGTCTTGAGAAATTCTCATCTAGACACCATAAAATCCCTATCAAACCACTTGACACCTATTTTGAAAGGACTTTATTTCTAAAATTGGGCTGCTTTTTGCTAAATTAATTCAGAAGGGCATAAACAGAGTATGCATTAAGAAACTGCCATTGCTATAGCAACTGAAGGGAGAATTATAATTAATTATTTTTATCTCATATGTATATTTTGTAGGAACTTTGAAAGGAAGGAAGTGGAAGTCAGGAAACTAAGTAATGGACTGGAAGTCATATATGACTTGAAAGCTTTCTTCCTAACTGTTTTATGAATCTGATAACTACTCTACTATCGTTTCTCCATCAATTCCTCCTTCTCACCAACAGGAGGAAATGGTTCTGGCTCAATTCATGGGATTTCTTGGGGAAGTTTCAATAGACTAATGGACTCCAACAGAAAAGTTTGTTCCAACTGAGATCTTTCACAAAATGTTTCATGGTAAATATAGGTCTTATTGTCATACATTCTAAACTCATCAAGTTCTTCAACTTGATGGCAAAATCATCCTCTGAGCTATTTCAAGATATTCTCTTATGAAAAAACAGAAACAAAAAAAAACCTTAACAGACACTGCATGCTAAATAAACTGAAGACACACAGCTTGGGACTCTAACTGCTTTCCTTTCTACTAACAGATACCGTCACTCTTGCCCAGTTCTGAATCCAATCAAAACTTAGTAAAACATTTTATTTCATCCATTAATGACAGAAAGGAATAAAAGAGAAAGACCTTATAATTATACACCAAATCTAGCAGAAGGTAAGTCTTAAATTAATTAAATTAAACTTTTCAAACAAAACCATACTGTCTTCCAGACTCATCCTGCATATGTATATTGGCCTGCCAGAACTGGTATTTATTATGAGCTATTTGAATTTCAATCATTTATTCACAACCCTTATGTCAGGCTCTCATTAAAATTCATTCACAAGCAACTGGTAGGTAATACTGGCAACCCAATGTGTACCTCCTGCTTTTAACCAGATACTAAAATCTAGTGATGGCTCACTCTTACAAAGTTGCACTTAGGCCTGTGGGTGAAGTCAGAAACTTGCTTCACATAACTTTTTTACAACATACAAAGTAAGTATCATTCTCTGATGTGCAAATTGCACTGATAAGGTGACTCTTTCTGAGGTTAAGTTACATGCCCTGAGCAAACTAATTTTCCCCCTTTCAGTTTGTACATAAAATTTATAGCCAGGTGGTAGAGGTCGTAGCACCAATGTGTGCAGTAATCATATCTAGGGCCAAGATACTAGGATTATAAAAACCTCTCAGCTTTGATAGTGTGGATGCTACTTGCTCTCACTGTGGGTACATGCTATCTCCCTCCTCTCCTAATGCTTGAAGGTTGAGTCCACTCTGAACCTTGATCTTACAAGGGCCCACCCACTGGATCCAATCTACAATGTAGCCTAAGCAAATCTTTGGAAAGTAATACAAAATCTACACCCACAACTAATGGACAACTAATGCACCATTACAGATACACACTCATAAACTCTTCTGACATAATGCCAGGAAGTGTGTGTATGGAAAAGGTGTGGCTATACGGGTGTGTGTGTGTATGTGGTGTGTATTAATGAGAGATTAATTTTGATAGATTATATAGTTTTATGTTGGATATTCTTTCATTATATTGAATGATTGTATAAGAAATAAGAAATTTGCAAATGTCATTTCCACTTATGAGAGTCAATAAAGAAAATGTAAAATGGCTGACTTTGGATCTCACTTCAGACCTACCTCACAGATTGTCAAATCTTATTTCTCACGTTCATCTTTTAGTTATTCCCTTCAGATCAGGTGTGGTCATAAAGGTAAAAAATAACACCGGTGAAAGATAGACATGACTAGTCACCATACACTAACCAAGAATTCAATGGTATTGAGTGACTTACTTTCCTAATACTGGGTCTTTCATTTATTTTATGCTGAAGCAAATGGCCTAATTTGGGAGACAGAGCAAATGGTGGTCTTTCAAGGGAATACCTGTGTTCCACATTTATATCACATGCCAATACTGAAGGAAGGAACTGTGTATCTTTATTTCCATAACTGTAAAATGTCCACACCTAAGCTGCAAACTTCCTAATCTTATTTCAAGCTTACACAGTGAGACAGGTCTGGGACAACCCAGCATCCAACTTGAGAGGCCATTAATCATTTTAAGGATCTGTAAGTGTTTCTTTTGAATTACCCTCCCTCAAACAGGAGTAATGGATCTCCATTTTTCTGAGAGGTGAAAGTTGTCTGGGATTGCTGCCAAAGAAGCTCTGAAGAGAAAGGCCACATCAACTATGCTGAACAGAAAGAGAGAGCTATGCTGTAAAATCATCGAGCGACCCAAATAAAATGATATGGAGAATCTTCAGGAAGGATTAAAAAGCACTTTACCTTAGAATCCCTGCCTATGGGCCTGGGAAGCTTTCTTTGTTGTTCTCAGTTACTCTCAGCTATTTCCTGTCCTGAGATGAAGCAGGGACCCCCTTTTTTTAGGGGCCTGTGGACCTCCAAGAATGGAAATAAAGTAAAATCCCGAATTCCTTCAAGGGAAATTCCAGGTATCTAGTTAGCTAATCACAGAAGCAAATAAGTGACTTGTTAAAGACTTGTTACAACCAGGTGGTAGAGGTTGTGCTGCTACCTCTACCACCTGGTTGTAATAGGGCTGGGTGAAGTGGCTTATGCCTGTAATCCCAGCACTTTGGGAGGCCGAGGTGGGTGGATCACCTGAGGTCAGAGGTTCGAGACCATACTGGTCAACATGGTGAAACCCCATCTCTACTAAAAATACAAAAATTAGCTGGGCATGGTGGCAGGTGCCTGTAATCCCAGCTATTCGGGAGTCTGAGACAGGAGAATCGCTTGAACCCGGGAAATAGAGGTTGCGGTGAGCCAAGATCATGCTATTGCACTCCAGCTGGGACGACAAGAGTGAGTCTGTCTCAAAAAAAAAAAAAAGAAGGTAATATTAGACTAAAACTATAGTCAAGGAATTTAGAGTTCACAGATGTTTGCTTTCCTTACAGGAACTAAAAATAACATTTTAACATGTGTCCCTGAGTTGTCTTCCAGGGACTCAGACCCCCAGTGAGGACACCCACCAAATCGATCCAATGGCCTGTAGACCTCAGATAAGGGAAAACTGAAGACTAAATTTTGACCATCATTTTTTCTTGCTGAGGGGCTTGGAGAAAATCACACCCCTCAGCTAGGTAGCACTTTTCTGCTGACCCCAAATTTTTAAACAAAGATTCTATTCCTTAACCAATTGCAAATCAGAAAATCTCTGAAACTACCTGTAACCTATAAGCCTCTGCTTCAAGCTACCCCACCTTTTAGGCCAAAACCAATGTGTAACCTCCACGTATTGATTTATGATTTTACCAGTAGCTTCTGCTTTCCCTAAATTTACCCCTGCCTTTCAGGGTTTGAGTGTTTAGCTGCCTGGTCCTCCTTGCTTGCCTGATGCTCTGCAAAGTCCTTTCTTTTTTTTTGAGACAGAGTCGCTGGAGTGCAATGGTGCGATCTCAGCTCACTGCAACCTCTGCCTCCTGAGTTCAAGCTATTCTCCTGCCTCAGCCTCCCGAGTAGCTGGGATTATAGGCGCCCGCTACCACACCTGGCCAATTTTGTATTTTTAGTAGAGACAGGGTTTTGCCACGTTAGTCAGGCTGGTCTTGAACTCCTGACCTCAGGTGATCCACCCACCTCGGCCTCCCAAAGTGCTGGGATTACAGGCACGAGCCACCGCGCCCGGCCATGCCTTTCTTTCTACTGCTGCAAAACCTTAGAGTAGACATCTGGTTTTACTGCACCAGGTGAGTGGACCCCAGTTCGGTTCTGTAACTTTGCCACAGTTACCAAACTGCATACCTTTCACAAATTTCCTGTCTCAAGATTCGTAAACATGCTGTTTCCTTTTCCTGAAAGGCCCTTTTCCTCAGTATCGACATATTGCGTCTTCTAAGCACAGGTCATATGTAGCTTCCTCTACAGAACCCTCCATCTGTCCTAGCCTTCTCTTCCTATGCTTAAAACCTCAACGTTACTGTCAATCTATCTTCTTCCTCTCTACTCCTTCTGAGGAATAAAAAAGTATTCTGAGGAATAAAAAAGAATATTGAAAGCTTGCCATCACTACCTACTAGATTTTAGCCCTGTCATGCTTTCCTTAATTTATTATCCATTGAATTAAATTTTTTATATTAGAATAATTTTTCCCTTATTGAGTTTCAAAAATCTTGTCTCATGCAGCCATCTGAATAACTTTATTCAATAAGACGTTGGCCAGATGCAGTGGTTCACACCTGCTATCCCAGCACTTTGGGAGGACGAAGTCAGAAGATTGCTTGAGTCCAGGAGTTGGAGACTAGCCTGGGCAACATATTGAGACTCTGTCTCTATAAAAAAGTAAAAAAATTAGCTGGGCTTTGTCGTATGTGCCTGTAGTCCCATCTACTTGGGAGGCTGAGGTGGGAGAATCGCTTGGGCCCAGGAGGTTGAGGCTACAGTAAGCTGTGGTTGTGCCACTGCACTCCAGCCTGAGTGACAGATGGGGACCCTGTCTCAAAAAATTCAAAAAAATAAAATAAAATAAAATAAGAAGTTTATATCAGTTTAACAGATAATAAACTAAAGCTCAGTGTACATATGTAACTTTCCAAAGATCACTCAATCAACAAGAGATGGAATCAGCTCTCTGATTCCAAATCTATTACTCTTTTCACTGAACCATGATGCTTTCATCACATGAGATTAACATGTGACTTCAAATTTATTACCAATGAGCTTCAAGTAACTTCTTAAGATTAATCTTTAAACTAGAACCACAGTCCTATGTTATTTACAGAAGTAAAAATTACCTTTGAAATAAACCTCCAATATATTTAGAAAAATTGATATGCCCAAACTTCTGTGAGACAGAGCCATAAGTAATTAGTAAATAAGGAGCTGACAACTAGTGATGATAGTAACACATTAACGGACTAGCAGTCAGTTGCCATGAGATGTATTTTGCTCTTATGATTTTGCATGTATTAGTTAGAAGGAAAAATTTCCTTGTCCACCAAAAAGCTCATTAGTACTAAGCAAAAACTTGGGTGCCAAGCAAGGGCTCAGCTAATTCTCCTTACTCTTAAACAAATCATTAGATTCTTTATTCTACCCAAAGTCATTCAGTAAGATGTCCTTAATGCAAAGGTTAAATAAGTCAGTTCTGGAGAACAGGAAGAATTAATTTGCTTTTCATAAATAAACAAATTTATTTTCAGGTTGACACATGTTTTCAACACAGTTGTTCACTGAGGTGGAAATTTTTTTTTCTTGATTCGATTTGATAACAATCTGAAAGGTTCAATTACATTTCTCCATCTGTGTTTGGACTTCAAAAAGCCTAAATTTCACAGCAGGGAGACTTAGTCACATCTCCATTGACCAACATTTCCCCAGTAATCTAATAGACTGCTCTTGGTTGGAAAATGAAGTAAACAAACAGGCAAAATTCTTCTATTTCTTGACTTTCTTAAGGTTTGGTACATGGAGCAGCAAAGCATATAGTAGGCGCCATGAAGTAGTGGGGGGGCATTGGACTGTGCTGGAGACTCGCATTCTGGTTCCAGCTCAGCACCCAAGAGCCAGCAGTGTGACTTTAAGGAGGTCAGCCAATCTCTGCCAATCTCTGCAAAGTTCAATCAACAAAATTCTGGACAAGGATTCTTACTAAATTCTTCTCTCCTCTATGATTGGTTGCAATGAGCTTCATATGAATTGTGTGTAGGCCTTGGCAGGGCAATGCTGTTTGATTCAAAACTCAAAAGCTCAGTAAGTGGCTTTCGCTTTTTCAGCCTAACACGTCTTAGGGAGGATTATATATATATATGGATTCACCCTGAAATTTCTTTGAAATTCAAGAATGCCCTAATGAGACACATACTTCGTGACTCAAGATGTGATATTTGTCTATTTTTCTTCTTAGTAACAATGTAGGAGGAAGCTATAAAAATCTGAGTGGGAAAAACGTTCTTAAATTAGCTGCTGTAGTGGTTTTGGTTAGTCACAAGAAACCTAAATTACATAGGAGCTTGAAACTTCACCTTATATATTTGTCAAAACTGGACAGAGTAGATACACCGGGCTGATTGAATGCTTTCTCATCATATAATGTAAACCATAGATTCAGGTTCAGTATGCAGGAATTGAATTAAAAGAGAACCAGAATTTAGGTAGAAGATGGAAAATTAGTTTGTAAGTACCTTTTATTCAGAAAATAAGGGTCTATGGAAAAAAATCACGAGAGTAAAAGACATAAAAAATTTCAGAGTGAAATGTGATATAACCAAAGAATTCAACTCCTACCAATATCAGAATGTTGCTGTTAAAATATTTCCTATTACTGCTAAGCTTATGAAATCATATGATCAATGACAGAAGACATTGGAATGAAAGAACATTGATTCTGTACACATACCTGTGTTCAGCTTCAGCTGAGATAATTGACAATTCGGCCAGTTTAAATTGAAAAGGAAAATACCTGTGTAATGTAATAGTTTCCTTGTCTACACAAGATGAACAAACTTCTTAGCTGTCAGGTTTTAAGACAAACATATGAAAATACTACTACCTCACATTCAGTATTCCTCACAGCTTTTTAGAAAATTTTTAAACGTATCTAAAATGTATGAGATGCTCACAGGAACTCTGTGATTAGACAGACCCAGTATCCTCACCTCTCCGTGCACATGGGAAATCTACAGCACAGAAAGGTTAAGGGTCTTCGCCAGGTTCATGTTACTGTAGGCAGAGGTAGGACTCCATTGGATCCATGCCCTCTGAGTATGAAATCCTTCTATTCTAATTTTCCAAAAATGATGTGACTAGAATATGTCCTTTAAGATCCACTTGCAGGGCTGCCTTGTTTTACATTTTTTGTATGGGCATAATAATAAGCTATATAGTTTTTCAAGGTTCAATCCCTTTTTTAAAAAGGATTTAATAATGACCAAAAAGTACAACATTTCCCTGAACAGCTTCCCTTTCAGGTGACATCACTTTCCTTTCCATCCATTCACAAAAGACACTGTTAAGGTCCGGGTGCAGTGGCTTATGCCTGTAATCTCAGCACTTTGGGAGGCTAAAGCAGGTGGATCACTTGAGGTCAGGAGTTTGAGACCAGCCTGACCAACATGGCAAAACCCCATCTCCACTAAAAATACAAAAATTACCCAGGCATGGTGGCTTGTGCCTGTCGTCCCAGCTACCTGGGAAGCTCAGGTAGGAGAATCGCTTGAACCTGGGAGGCATGGGTTGCAGTGAGCCGAGACTGGGCCACTGCACTCCAGCCTGGGCAACAGAGCAAGATTCCATCTCAAAAAAAAAAAAAAAATAGATACTATTAGGGTATTATGTGATGCTGGAATTTTAAGTTCAGCAATAACTTTAGTTCAGGAAGAGAATAATAAAAATATATCTTCAAACAGCTGAGCAGGGAGACAGCATAAAAATGAACTCCCTGAGTCTGGGCATGGTGGCTCACGCCTGTAATCCTAGCATTTTGGGAGGCTGAGGCAGGTGGATCACCTGAGGTCAGGAGTTCGAGACCAGCCTGGCCAACATGATGAAACCCTATCTCTACTAAAAATACAAAAATTAGCTAGGTGTGGTGGTGGGCACCTGTAATCCCAGCTACTCAGGAGGCTGAGGCAGGAGAATTGCTTGAACCCAGGAGGCGGAGGTTGCAGTGAGCTGAGATTGCGCCACTGCACTCTAGCCTGCGTGACAGAGTGAGACTCTGTCTCAAAAAAAAAAAAAGAACTCCCTGGTAACTGCTCTCTAAAAATTGAAACAAGAGCTACTCTTCCTGTTTTACCCCCTGATTTTTTTATAAGCCTGATTTTCCCCTAACCATTCACTCAGTTGTTCCTGAAGTGTCTGTGTGTGATGGGTGACAGGATCATTTTAAAGGATTTGCTTTCGCAGGCAAACTCCTCAGTCTAGATAACAAAATTAAATTATTTACTAGTAGACATAGTTTGCACAGTGCCTGTTCACTGAAGCAGGCAAAAAGATAAAGCAGCTGATGTCACCCATGCTGCGTCACAGGCAGCTTATTTCCTAGGAAACTCCCAGGCAAGAAAGGAAGCAGCTTATTAGAGACAGGCAAAGCTCATTGTTTAAACGAGAGTTTTCTAATCCTTTCCCTTTCTGCCACTCCTAATCTCAAAAGCACTGGCAAGCACTGGTTATAAAATGTCACTGGTACTTTGCTGCTAATCTATTTGATAATGCCTATTTGTGGCTCCTGCTTTAGAGCATTTGAGGACAAGAGTGCTACTAACTTTTCAAAATATCTTTCCTAGAATTTACTTTGAAAGGGAGGATTTAAAGAAGCCAGCTAATTAAACGGGTCCAGTCTCAAACTGATCTCTAGCCGGGATTCAGAGGCAGCACTGACATTGAACAGTGTAAAAGTTGTGTTGCACAGATGGTAGATATGTGACTTCTGCTGTTATCTCATTTATCTGGATAGTCTGCAACTCTTGAGATTTAACTAGCAGGATGACCCCACTGCCACAGGCAAGATCTGACAAAATCTCTGAATGCATTTGAACAGTAATCTTGATAAAGCTTGGCTCAATTTCATACAGATGACAACCTTACATTTAGAAGTTCTGCCCTTATTAAGCATGCAAAAGCCTACCAAAGGAGCAAGAAAACAAGAAGGAAAACAGAATTCAGGGCCTATGTTTCCAATTTCAGTTGGGTAAATAAGAAAAAGTGGTAAAAATTTTAGATCAAGATCTTGAATTGAATACCCACGTTTCTCTTTTCTCCATACTCAAATTCCATTAAAAATGGAATTTAAAACTTCAAAAAGGTATCTATTCACTAACACTACTGAGAAAGGGGTGACAAATTAACAAGCTCATGATTTAAAGTATTTTTGTAATGCATAAAACACATTGGATTTTATTATTATTATTATGAACAGTCAAGGGATGTATTACTCAGGAAGCACACGGAACGATGCAATAGAGATGAGAGATTTTTATCTGGCTGAGTTCTCAGCAACTCAATCTCAAGGCAGGCAGTTATGAAAATGGAGAAATGTAGTGGAACAGATATAAAAATATTTAATTGAGAAGAGTTAACAGAAAACTTGTACAATTTCAGCTGCCCCTGCCCCACCTTCCTTTCATGAGCAACAACAGAGGTTGTATCTAACACAGAATTTATCTCTAAAGGAATGGTATCTATCCCCCAGGAAAAGACTTCCAGAACTTCCCAACCATTGTGTGCCATGAATGGGTTATGGGTAGTGTGGCCATATAACTTGTTGTTCAAATCTAAAGACTTTTGAGAGTGAAGGAGAGTGTTATTAATAACTATTCTGGGACAACAGGTATAAACAGACTGTCACAGGCAAACGTGCAAGTATAGACTTGCTAGTCATGTGTGTCCTGAGATACTGACCCTTTCAGCTCTTGGGTAAACTGAGGCATCCAGAGGTCCCGGGCCAGAGTGAACAACCTCAATCTATTACCACAATGTACCACCAAATATTTTCTCTGTGTTATGCAAAAAAGAAAAAAAAAAGATTGGGAGCACTGTGTTGAAGAAGTCACATACCCACGGCCCTTCCGTATGTTCCATTTGGCTACTGACAATTTTTAAAAGATAGGCTCAAAATTTAGCAATCAGGAAGCTGCATATAAAAATCTGCATTTGCCATTCAATGGGGTATCCATCCATACTATACCCACATTCTTTTCTGGAAACAATCCAGTGGGGGCAGATCAGAGGCAAAATTCTCTCACCAGGAAGCTTCACTTGTTTATCTAACCTGCTTGTCTCAAATAGTCCATGAAACTTGTTTCCACTATTAATAGGCACTTCAGAGTAAATCCCTCCCCATTTTGGCCTGGAGATTGGGAGGGTGTGGCTGACCCGTTTCACAGCTGCAGACCCTAAAGTAAAGTTGTCTCGCCGGCCCAGATCAGATCTTTTAAATGGGAAGGCATGAGAAGCCACCTTTAACAATCTACCTGGTCTTTTATTTAAAAATAAGATTAGCCACCCAAACACCACAAGATATTTGTGTAAAAAACAGAAGCAAAGAAAGAGAAGAGCTAAAATTCCAAGATAAATCAAGAAATCAACTGGATTTCCCTCACCACTTTTCCACACCATTCCATATACTACTTCATATCATTCTCTTCATGAGGACACTGGCCACTCTGACATTACCCAGCTTATTTATTTGTTCATTGATTGCCTCCTGATTAGAGAGTTATCTCCACAAGAAGGATGATTTTAACGGTTGTTTATTCATACATGCCTTGCCCCTAAAATAGAGGCTAGTACAGAAGCAGCACTATAAATATATTATTTAATGGCATGGAAATAATCACTAAATGAAATACAGGCAGAAATGGTTAAACACGCCTTCCCTTAGGCAGAGCAAGTCTAGAAGTGGGGATGAAGAATAATCTTTTATCTATTAATTTTAAACATTGTATACAACTCTGATTTTTATTATTGTATGCATAAATTATTTTTATAACAATTCAAGAAACAAAGAATGAAAATAAACTATTCATCAAGTTAAAACAATCTTTGCTTCCTAAGCTTGGAATTCTTCTCTAACATGGTAACCTAAAATACACATCTCTAAGGAACCCAGAGATTTTACCTGAACAGCCCAAGTAATTAATTATTTCTTGCCTTGTTTGTTTACAGAGTTGGTCTTGAACTTCTCAAGCACTTCTCAGTCTACTGGCTGAAAAGTAGACAAGTAACAAGTATAGATTCTGAAGTCAAAGGGCCTTGGATTCAAATCCTCACTTTATCATTTGTTATCTGTTTGTCTTCAGCTCTCTATGCATCAGTTAGTTCCCATTCATAAAACGAGGTCTTGGTTAAAATGAAAAATGTTAACATGAAAAAGCAATTGACCATGTCCTGAGCATTAAGCGCTCAATAAACAACAGTTACTTTAGTAATTATATTTTGTATTTTGTATGCTTCTATATGTTCAAACAATTTAACTATCTGAAATAGACAGTAGGTCATCATCTTTTCTAGGATCATTCATTACCCACCACCTACATATCAGGAACTGTAATGAACTTTGGGGAGATAAATAAAAATAAAATAAGGATATAAACTGTGGACATGAGATGTTTAGCTCTATGCTCTTCATTATCTCATATTCCTCAGATTCCTAAAGGTGAAAATGACAGATGGCAAATAGCTAAAGCTACTATGAATACAGATTTGTCACTGCCACACAACTCTGATTTTGTTTATATGCTTCCTTCTCAATCTCTACTTTTATTGGATCCATGAGTTTTAAGATTAGTCACTCAACTGTTTTGCATCAGCATGTAAGCATAAATTAATTTTATAATATTAGTTTCACACTCCACTTCTATCAGATCTCAGGCACCCAAGTTAGGATAAGTTTAGGAAAAAAAATCAAAAAAGAATTACTGGGCCTGTAATCCCAGTACTTTGGAAGGCCAAGGTGGGCAGGGATCACAAGGTCAGGAGATCGAGACCATCCTGGCTAACACAGTGAAACCCCGTTTCTACTAAAAATACAAAAAAAATAATTAGCCGGGCATGGTGGCGGGCTGTAGTCCCAGCTGCTCGGGAGGCTGAGGCAGGAGAATGGCGTGAACCCAGGAGGCAGAGCTTGCAGTGAGCCGAGATCGCGCCACTGCACTCCAGCCTGGGCAACAGAGCAAGACTCTGTCTCAAAAAAAAAAAAAAGAATTACTGGAAGGCATTGGAAGATGTGCTGCCTCAGGAAGAGCAATTAAAAAAAAAAAAAGTCAACCAAAAAACTTAGGTGCTCACTATAAGCAAATGGTTTTCTTGTGTTATGCAAAAACAAAATAGTCTATAGGCATTAGCTAAGAAAATGAATAAGATATTATTTTCAAAAAATGCTAGCCTCATACTCAGTATATTTCTATTCTTCAATAATTTGATTATCTTCTATAAAATAGAAATAGGTGAGTTCTGACATGATGGACTTCCCGAAGTCACTATTTCATACTCCAACTCTAAAAATTAAATATATTTTTTATAAATTAAATTTATGAGTTGAAAAATTACAAGGGGTGCCCCTGGTAAACAATAATCAAAGAGAAATCCTGGAAAGAGAGAAAGCAGAGGAATTAGATTCAAGAAGAAGACAAACGCATAGCAGAAGCCTCCTGCAAAAAGTGGAAGTGGCTCTGAGCACATCCCGAGTATGGATAGTCAGATATTGGGCTCTGGCACCTGCAACAAAGGAACTAACTAGGTGGATACTTTAGCGAGAGCAGCTGGTAGATTGACTTTTCCACATCTCTGTCCCTCACCAACAAAAACAGAGCCTATTGTTCCCGGCTGGGAACATAGGCAGAAGAAGTATGTCCAGTTTCAGGTGACCGGGGACATTCAGAAGGAATGAGGAACCTACATGCCTCAAAGGATAGTAAAAATAACGAACAGAGAATCCCATTCAGGAACACTTTCTTCGCGGCCCCATTCCATCCTCTCATTCTTGGGAGGAATATTTACTCTCCAATTTGCCACAGTCTCTACTACCCACTCTATTTGTTTATTTTAGCACTCCAGTCCCATAGGCATTTGAGTTGTGCCCAGAAAACTACTGGCCATTCTTTGTATAGTCTTGAAAGGAGCAGTGAATTAAAATGGGCTCTAACAAAAACATCACATGTGTTTGTGTTGATCAGGTGACAGGCTGAACTGCAAAAAGCCCCATTTGATAAAATAACTGGCCTTAGCTGTAGGGCTTTACTAAACCAATAATTTGATTTGCTGAGTCCAAAAATAACTGTGTGAACCATCTAGCAAGAAACAGAAAGAATTACGTAGGAGGATTTTCAGAGCCTCTGCAAAGATGGGTTGATCCATCTCCTGAAGGAGCTTGTAGGGGCGAACAAAATATGCTATTAAACTGAAAGGACTTTACATTGTAGGAAATAAGATCTGGGTTATTTTTAAAAGCCTGTTGGCCTGGCAAGGTGGCTTATGCCTGTAATCCCAGCACTTTGGGAGGCCGAGAAGGGCGGATCATCTGAAGTCAGGAATTTAAGACCAGCCTGGCCAATATGGTGAAACCCCATCTCTACTAAAAATACAAAAAATTAGCCGGGTGCGGTGGCGCATGCCTGTAATCCCAGCTACTCAGAAAGCTGAGGCAAGAGAATCGCTTGAACCCAGGAGGCAGAGGTTGCAGTGAGCTGAGATCGTGCCACTGCACTCCAGTCTGGACAACAAGAGTGAAACTCCATCTCAAAAAAAAAAGAAGAAAAAGAAAAAAAAAAAAAGCCCTCCTATCTAAGTCCCCTTTGTTTCTGTGCTTATGTGGTTTCTGAGCAATGACTTATCAACTGAAGTGCTCTCTTTCAACAAATTATTATAAATGGTTGTGTTTATAAGAGATAAAACCTTATTTCAAATTCAAATTGTAACAAAATATCAGGAAGCCCCTGCCATCTGGCTGTACAGAACCAATGTTGAGAGTTAAAACTACAGTAACCAAATATCTTGTGATCTAGAGACTGATAACTAGACAGACTCAAAGTTAATCAAATAAATGAAATAATATTCTGAAATTATGCCCAAATTAGAACACTACACAGGCAATACACTAAATATCTGATGTTTGAGTTATTATATACACTTAAAGAGTGTAAACCTAACATAAAGATCTCAAAACTTACAGAAGAGGGAATTCTTTCCTTAAAATTGTTTAATGGCTTTGTCCACAAAGGTGAAAAGAATACTAATATGGTGCAAATAACTATGCAAATTTTTTTTTGGAGACGTAGTCTCTTTCTTGTCCCCCAGGCTGGAGTGCGGTGGCGCGATCTCAGCTCACTGCAGCCTCTGCCTCCTGGGTTCAAGTGATTCTCCTGCCTCAGCCCCCCAAGTAGCTGGGATTACAGGCATGCGCCACCATGCCTGGCTGATTTTTGTATTTTTAGTAGAGACGGGGTTTTACCATGTTGGCCAGGCTGGTCTAGAACTCCTGACCTCAGGTGATCCACTCGCCTCGGCCTCCCAAAGTGCTGGGATTACAGGCATAAGCCACTGCGCCCGGCCTAACTACACAAATTCTTAACTAAAGGTTAAAAAATTAAGCCACTGGTTGGTGTTGTACAAAAGAAAAATGTCATTTTACTTGAGGCCAATGTAGCTTTAGAATAAAGAATAACTTTTGCAATTTAGATTTTAGAAGCTCCTAGAATACATTAGCATCCCAGTTATCTGAAGGTTTTTTAAATGTATATTTCCAAGAGCTTTGCTTATAAAAACTTCAACCAAGGAAACTGCTCCTAAGTTAGTCAAGATTCAATGCTACATGTCTGAAGAACTAAAACTTAATTAAAATATTCTCAAAGTATAATCCGTGTAGGTTGTGTATACAATTGTTCCTTAGTATTCAAGGGGAATTTGTTCCTCGCTGTGGATTGGTCCTCCCTGTGGATACCAAAATCCACAAGATGCTCAAATCCTTGATATAAAATGGTGTAGTTATTTGCATATATATCACTAAGGAAAACTCAAGCTGGAAACTGCTTAGGGCAAACCTGCCTCCCATTCTATTCAAAGTTATCCCTCTGCTCACTGACATAAGTGCATATCTGATTGCCTCCCTTGGAGAGGCTAATCGGAAACTCAAAAAATGTAACTGTCTGTGTCTCACCTATCTGTGACCTGGAAACTCCCTCCCGACTTGGAGTCTTCCTGCCTTTGCTTCAAGTTGTTCCGCCTTTTCAGACCAAACCAATGTACCTCTTACATATATTGATTGATGTCTCATGGTCTCCCTAAAATGTGTAAAACCAAAGATGTGCCCGGACCACCTTGGGCACATGTCGTCAGGACTTCCTGAGGCTGTGTCACACACGTGTCCTCATCCTTGGCAAAATAAACTTTCTAAATTAACTGAGACCTGTCTTAGATTTTATGGGTTCACAACATCTTATGGGCAAAATTTTCTATGGTCATAAAAAATAAAAATTGCCCCCACAGAAACTTTAAACCTGAGGCAGATCTTCCTCCCTTCTAATCAGTATCCTAATTCTTCCTAGTGTGTGAATGCACAAGCATCATCAGGAATCAGCCTAAGCTGATAATATATAGTACTGTCCAACAGAAACACAATGCAAGCCATAAATACGAAACACATATATAATTTAAAATTTTCTAGTATCACATTTTAAAAAGTAAAAAGAAATCATTTATTTGTTAGTAATATATTTTAACTCAACAGATCCAAAAATATTATCATTCTCACATGTAATCCAGATAAAATAGTATTTAATTGCTATCAGTGTCTTTAATATAACATTAATAATAGTATCATTAATGTAATATTGAATTAAGGTATAATATATAACATAAAATATGATAATAATATATTAATTATTGATATTACTTTTTGTTTTTGTGCTAAGTCTTTGAGCATGTCTCAAAGCAATCTGGGCACATTTTAAGTGTTCAATGGCCACATGGGGCTAGGGGCTGCCATATTGGATGGCACAGAACTTGGAATACTGGTTCTCTAACTATACTGCCCTCCCCTATCCCACTTCCACCCAGCCTCCATCCCCCCAATTGCTTTCAAAACCAGGAAAACACAATGTGCAGCAACACTGAAGAGTCAAATAGCCTAGACTGCCACTGCTTGGTAATTTTCCTCTCAGTTTCAGAATTCTGGTTTGAACATCCTTTCATTTTTTTTTCCACTTTGAAATGAGTATTTGAAAGGGAGAAAGAAAATTGGTATATATAGTTGTCCCTCTAATCACTTTCTCACTGTTCAGCAAAACCTGGAATCAGGTTTTGCCTTGCAGTTGATTTTACCTCCACCACCTCATAGTATACTTGTATTTAAGCTAAACACTTACAGTGATAACAGTAATGTTGGTTAAAAAAAAAAAAAGTTAAGTCACAGGTTGACGGCTATTCTGGCACAGGCTTGGGAAATAAAACTCTTTTATCGGGAACTCTTTACCTGTGAATACTGAGAAACAGGTAAGTCTGGCAACATAGCATTTTCACCAGAATACTTGTCAAGTGGATTTCTGCCATGCCTTGGCCTTCTACCTCACCTCTTCTGGCTTTCTAACTGATTGTCTGCTGCCTGCCTGGAATCCCTACTGGCCTTAGACACCCAGTCAAAAGCTGGTCTCTGAGTCAAAGTAGCATTCGGGCAACAAAGCACCAAATGCAGTGCTGGCTCCCGAGAATGTGAGTGGGTCTTGAAGGTCTTAGCTTTTTTGAGTTTGGTTCCATTCTAAAGGAATTTCAGCAAGCAGAAGATTTATCAGATTGATTTAGAAATGCAGCCTTCATAAACTGCATATTAAGCGTGTTAAATTCTGCTACATGCTTGAAAACCAAGGCTACAAAATGCTTCTATTACGTTAGCATTTTTTAGAGGTAGCATGTTAGAGGACCCAGGAAGACAGAAAGGTTAAGTGCCATGTCACAGAGCTAAGCAGACCATCAGAAAGGAGAATAGGAACCAGTTCTGCAGATGCCTGACCCAGCACCCTTGCCACCAACAAATTACACTACCTTCAGGTCTAGTTCTCATCCTTTCTACTCTAGTGGAAATTAATAGAATTAGTAGTCTTTTTGTTTTTTCTGAAAGACAGCATTAGGAATATCTATCAAAATTTCAAACAGGACTATTCTTAACTCATTTATTGACTCATTCATTTCACCTATAACAATGTATCCTACAAAAACACACACATGCCCAAAGACATTTGAATAAGGATGTTTGTTACGACATTCTTTATGACAGTGAAACATTGAAATCAACTTAAATGTCACTTGCTTTTTAAAAGAATGACATAGATCTGTACATACTGATGTTGGAAAGATCTCCCACACAGAAATAAATTAAAAATTCATCACGCAAAAGTAGTTCTAGCATGATTCCATTTATACAGAAGGGAAAAATACAAATACATGTGTGTAAATTCATAGTAAATGTCTGAAGGAATATTTGCAAAGCTGTTAAAAGTGCTTGTTTCCAGCCGGGCACAGTGGCTCACGCCAGTAATCCCAGCACTTTGGGAGGCCAAGGCGGGCGGATCACGAGGTCGGGAGATCAAGACCATCCTGGCTAACTCGGTGAAACCCCTTCTCTACTAAAAATACAAAAAACTAGCCAGGCGTGGTGCCAGGTGCCTGTAGTCTCAGCTACTTGGGAGGCTGAGGCAGGAGAATGGTGTGAACCCGGGAGGCGGAGCTTGCAGTGAGCCGGGGTCGCGCCACTGCACTCCAGCCTGGGCGACAGGGTGAGACTCCATCTCAAAAAAAAAAAAAAGTGGTTGTTTCTGCTAAATGCAGGGGACTTTGGGGATGTGTTTTTATATCATTTGACACTGTTACTGGAGAACAAATTCCCATAGTACGTATGAAATTAAACATAAACATATTTAGAAAACTATTTTCTAACCTCATTATAAACAAGCCAGAATATTCACAAAGGGCATGCTTATTTAGAAATGTAGATGTTCTTTTAAATAATAATAAATGAAGATTTTTTTAAAGTCCTGTTATGCTAAGAACTTGATTATAAGTCATTTGAGTATGGCTGAAAAATAAAAAAAAAACTAAAGAATGATCAGCAAGTTAATTATTAAAATTATTCATACTTTTCCCAAGGTTAATTCTGTTGACTGTTTAGTGTTACAAAAGAAATAAAAAACAACTATGTATAATATAATTTCAAGAGGCTTTGAATGTTTACATTTTTAAAGTAGGCTTGTAAATTATAGTCAAAATAATAAAAATAAATTGCTCAGCCTGTGGGTTAAGGTAAGGAAATAAAAAATGATTCAAATATGTCACCTTATGCCAACCGATGATACATTTCACAATATCTGATTTTGTAGAATCAGAGGCAGGACTCATATTCACCTGTGACAAGTTGGAAAGTAGAACCAGGAATGCATGGGACAAAACAAAACTTCCATTCACACCATATATGAACTGGGACATGTACAAGAAGAGTGGGCATCTGGGTCTTCAGTAGTAGGGACTTGGAAAAACTTTGCAGAGAAAGTGGTGTAAAGAACAATCAAGTCACCAAGTAGAGAAGATGGGGCACTCTTCCAAGTAAAGGGGAGGATAATATTGGCGAAAGCATAGATGCTAAGAACTTAGTAGATCTTGAAAAATTTCAGCAGAGCTAGGACTTAGAGTTTGTTGAGAAGTTGATTGGAGATGGTGCTGAAAATGAGGAATGGAAGCAGATAATCAAGGACCCTCATAAACCAGACAAACGAATTTGGACCTTTTATGTATTAGTCCTGTGCAGACCAGTATGGGAGGTACGATCCACATGTGGCAATGAGTACTTAAAATGTGGCTAAACCAAATTAAGATGTGCTATAAATGTAAAGTAATACACACCAGATTTCAAAAGCTTACTACAAAAAAAATTGTAAAATACCTCTTTTTTTTTTTACTGATTGCGTGTTGAAATGATAACGTTTTAGATATATTGAGCTAAGTAAAATATACTGTATTATTAACATGAATTTCACCTGTCTTTACTTTTTTTAACTGATTACTGAAAAATTTAAAATTACATATGTGGCTAGAATTATATTTCTACTTGACAATGCTGCTTTAGAGTTATATGTTTTAACAGAGTAGTGAAAATGTGGGATTTGCATTTTACAACTATCCTTCTGGCAAAAATGTGAAGGACAGTTTGTAGGGAAACCAAATAGGGGGCAGGAAAGACAGTTCCCAGCTATTAAAACAGTCCAAGGAGATACGATGAAACCTTCTCAAGAGTGCTGGAAATGAAATAAAGAAATGGATTCTATCTCTGGGCTATAGTGAATGAAGGGTTGAAAAGAAGATATTTTATCCTTCTAGCTTGGATATCTGGGTTCCTGATGATTTTATTCAATTAGAAGATAATGACAACAGGAAGATCTAGTTGCTATGGAGTTTAGGTAAAGATGATTATATTTTTACAGAATATGTTGTGGTGCTTGTGGTACCCAAAATATACACTTTTCAATAGACATTAAAAAAATGCAGGCATTCCAATAAAAGTTTTGGTTGGATGGAGAGACATGTGATTCATCAGTGCATGCATAGTAGCAGATGTCATAAGTATAGATAACATTGCTGGGTAGCTGCCTATTGCAGGGAGTCAGGGACCCCAAATGGAGGGACTGGCTGAAGCCATGGCAGAAGAACGTGGATTGTGACAATTTCATGGACATTTATTAGTTCCCCAAATTAATACTTTTATAATTTCTTATGCCTGTCTTTATTGCAATCTCTAAACATAAATTGTGAAGATTTCATGGACACTTATCACTTCCCCAATCAATACCCTTGTGATTTCCTATGCCTGTCTTTACTTTAATCTCTTAATCCCATCAGCTGAGGAGGATGTATGTTGCCTCAGGACCCTGTGATAATTGTGTTAACTGCATGAATTGTAGAGCATGTGTGTTTGAACAATATGAAATCTGGGCACCTTGAAAAAAACAGGATAACAGCAATGTTTAGGGAACAAGAGAGATAACCTTAAACTCTGACCACCGGTGAGCCGGGTGGAACAGAGCCATATTTCTCTTCTTTAAAAAGCAAATGGGAGAAATATCACTGAATTCTTTTTCTCAGCAAGGAACATCCCTGGGAAAGAGAATAAGCCCCTGAGGGTGGGTCTATAGATGGTCCCCTTGGGTGTGGCCGTCTTCCATGGTCGAGGCTGTAGGGGTGAAATAAACCCCAGTCTCCCATAGCACTCCCAGGCTTATTAGGAAGAGGAAATTCCTGCCTAATAAATTTTGGTCAGACTGGTTGCTCTCAAAACCCTGTCTCCTGATAAGATGTTATCAATGACAGTGGTGCCCGAAACTTCATTAGCAATTTTAATTTTGCCCCGGTCCTGTGGTCCTGTGATCTTGCCCTGCTTCCATTTGCCTTGTGATATTCTATTACCTTGTGAAGTACGTAATCTTTGTGACCTACACCCTATTCGTACACTCCCTCCACTTTTGAAAATCCCTAATAAAAACTTGCTGGTTTTGCAGCTTGTGGGGCATCACGGAACCTACCGACATGTGATGTCTCCCCTGGACACCAAGCTTTAAAATTTCTCTCTTTTGTACTCTGTCCCTTTATTTCTCAAACTGGCTGATGCTTAGGGAAAACAGAAAAGAACCTACATGACTGTCGGGGTAGGTTCCCCGATAGCTGCCCTTTTTGAAAAGAATACAGAACTCTGAGGAATACCAACATTTATGGGGAGAGTAAAACATCTGTTGGGAGATTAGGAAAAAGAAGCCAGAGGGACTGGAAGAGAACAAGGAAATACTGTTCCAAAAGCCTAGCAAGAAGTATTCAAGGACAGGGTAGTCACCAAGCCATAGAAAGGTCCATTGAGAGGCCAGACACGGTGGCTCATGCCTATAATCCTAGCATTTGGGAGGCCAAGATGGGTGGATCACCTGAGGTCTGGAGTTCGAGACCAGCCTGACCAACATGGATAAACCCCACCTCTACTTAAAATACAAAATTAGCCAGGCATGTTGGCACATGCCTGTAATCCCAGCTACTTGGGAGGCTGAGGGAGGAGAATTCCTTGAACCAGGGAGGCCAAGGTTGCAGTGAGCCGAGATTGCACCATTGCACTCCAGCCTGGGCACCAAGACTGTAACTCCGTCTAAAAATAAATAAATAAATAAAAATAAAGGTCCATTGAGATAAGAAAAGTGCCCATAGCACAGAATTCATTGCAGCTTAAAGGGTGATTTAAATGCATTTTAAGTTTATTATCTCATTTAATTATCACAGCAACCTTATGAGATAAGTGCTATAATTATTCCCATTTTACAAATGAGAAAATGAGAGGTACCAGAAAGTTAAGTAACTTGTCTGAGATCACACAACAGATGAGGGGAAGAGACAGGAGTGAAACCCAGGTCACCTAGTACCCATATTCTTACTTGAAATCCCAATTATTCAGATGTATAGAACCAGCTCATCATCTCCCCTGAAATACTAAAGGAGCTAAGAGAAGTTTGTATTATCAACAACAAGATGAAAATAAGAAACAATTTATTTCTTTTAAGTTGCCAGCTTTGGATCAGTTCTTCAGGACAGTGAAGATTACCTGAAGGACAAGGTAAATGGGAGTAACTTTTGCTTGACCTCTGTCACCACTCTTGCTGGCTATTCTAAAGGATTTTAGAATCAAACAAGCCTGTCCTAGGCAGAGGTGCTGGAAGGGTGGGGACACCCAGTCCCCTATTCCCCTGCAGTAGATGTCAGCAGTAGACAAGGAACAGGAAGGATTGACCCAGAAAGCAACAAGATTCAGGAGGACGGCGGTCACTCCTTTTTCTAGCCCTCTCTGCAACCTCCTCATGTCCCCGCTCTCAGTTCTATCTTTTCTAAATCCTGTGTAGAAGCTTCTGTAGACTTTGGGGAGGTGAGACAATACACCCATTATAGAACCCCTGGAAGCCACAGGATTTGATGTAGGCCTTGTTTCTAGCTCAGCTCAGTAATCTTCATCAGTCATCATTCTCTAGTGTCTAAGAGAACTAAGAAATCTCCCATTAGGAAATGTTGTTTTCCTCTTCCCATGATTATCATAACAGAGGCTTTTGGCATTATGTTTTTGTTTTGTTTTTGGTTTTGGTTTTTTGAGACAAAGTTTCACCCGTGTTGCCCAGGCTGGAGTGCAATGGTGCGATCTCGGCTCGCTGCAACCTCCACCTCCTGGGGTTCAAGCGATTCTCCTGCCTCAGCCTCTGAGTAGATGGAATTACAGGTGTGCACCATCACACCTGGCTAATTTTGTATTTTTAGTAGAGATGGGGTTTCACCATGTTGTCCAGCCTGGTCTTGAACTCCTGGCCTCAGGTTATCCACCAGCCTTGGCCTCCCAAAGAGCTGGGGTGCACCACCGCACCAGGCCTTGGCATTATGTTTTGATGACAAAATTCTGACAAGTCAGATTCAGTGAGAATCTAACAAAAGTCATTCTAGTAATTATTATTTAATAGCTCTGCCGAGGCCTGCCACTGGCCCAAAACATTTCTTCTCCTTTCTCACCCACCTAGAATAAAGCCTGTAATAATTTTTGTTAGAGAGTTTTTCATTTGAGTCTCCAAGTGTCTTATTTTGAACAGCAAAAATCCCTGTGAATTTTGGTATTTGACTAACTCACCCCAGAAACAAGAGATCATTTATGGAATGATGATTTGATGGGGGATGAACACTACACTAGCAGCATATTTTGGGTACTATCTGTGTATAGAATGCTTGATAGATGAACAGGAGGGGTACAGGGTAGGGGAGGCTCCCTAAGGAAACACCTAGGAATTGGGTAGGAAAAGAGAAGAGCGCAGAGAATAAACCACGGTCACCACTGCATTTTCCATGAATTCCTTCCTATCAGAAGGTTTTCCTCCAAACATTGACTCTTCAAAACCCAGTTCTGATGGGCCTCACTGAACTGACTGGCTGGGATTTGAATCCTTTTGGGAGAATTGTCAAGTGCCACAGAACATGACAGACCAGAAGTAATAAAACTGAGATTTGTGGCTGTGACTAGAGGGGAAAAAATACTTCAGTCTAGAAGTCTAGAATACTTTTTGAAGGTATAATTTTATTTCAGGTAAATTCTGGCTAAATTATTCCAACAGGATTTAAAACCCTTATTTAATAAAGTTACAATCAAGTCAGGAGTTTTGGCCTTAATGTAGGCACAATTAACCTTGAGATTAGAGGGCTGAAGGATGGTTAATTTATAGACTCACGAATTGCTTCTCCCTCATGAGAACAAGGGCAATGGGAACGTGAGCATTACTTACAGTACTGTACTCATCTCTGTGTATTGCTGGACATTTTCAGGAGTGGGGTCCAGAAACATGTTGAAGTCAAGAATTCCTCCAATAGTCCGGAATGTTAAAGAAGGATATGGGCTAAGAGTGGTTTCTGAGGAGAATAAAGCAAAGTACAAAATAAGCACCAATAAAATAAGTGCAAAGATTACTATTAATGTTTCTAACATTGGTATGCTACCTAGGCTGGCTGCCTAATTATATCAGGCCCTATTCATAGCTGTAATAACCTGTAAGTGTGTGCCTGGATTTCCCGGTTCCACGTGTTCACAATTTTACTTTTCAAAGAGTTCATCAAGTCAGTTACTTACTGCACTTATGCACTGAAGGGGTTAAAATATGCCATTCTGGTGTATTGACAATTTAAGTTAAGGGCACTTGAAAAAGAGCAGGTGCAAAAAGATCACTCTGACCTTTTTCCTGTTTCTTAAAAGGTTGGAATCCCCATGTGAAAGATACCCACCCTATGCTAGAAAGATGCAACATTCTCATCACCAAGGACAGAATGTTGAGACTAAGAAAATACTGTGCAGACTTTGTTAAAATAACTCTTGTCCTTTAAGCCTCCCCAAATAATTTAATTGCTTTCTTCACAATTTGCTATTCTTTGTCCAATTCAGTATTTAAGTATCTGACTCTAACTGCTTCTTCAGGTCTTTATTTATTTATGAGGGTTTCCATGCTACATAAAACATGTGTCAAATAAATCTGTATACTTTTCTCTCATTACTCTATCTTAGGCCAATCTAATTATCAAACCAAGCTGGGAGCATTAAGAGAATGGAGGTGGAATTTTTCCACCCCTACTACACACACACACACACACACACACACACACACACGCACGCGCGCGCCAGCGAGAAAGGGAGTTAGTTTAAACCCAAGCACACAATTAAGGAAAGCCACTGCAGAAGCAAGGCATTTCAAATATTTCTAGCCTAATTTAATGCAGAAATGTGGCCTTGGCAATGTTTATCTTGTTGAGATGATAAGGCAGAGCCGTAGACATTACATTACCATGAAATTTCTAACACTGATTGTTCAAGTGGCTTCTGATTTCTCCAGTTACATGTCTTTAGTGTTATGTGTCTTAATGGTATTTTGCAATATATTAGAATGAATGTATATCTTTCATTAAAAAAATTTTCATTTTGAAACCAAAATGTTAAATTGTAGACAATCGCTCACTCGATTTGCTTCTAATTAATAAGCATTTTTAAAGGAGAAAAGACAAAATTAGCATTTAAATTGTGCATTTGCTTCTTTATAATTTAACCAGACAATCACATTACCTTGGGCATTGGAATTCAGGAGAAGAACACCATGAGCATTAAAATCATTCTCTATGCAATTATATAAAGGATGAACTCCATAGAGATTGCTAAATGGCTGCAACAGCAAAAAGAAATACTATGTTTTCTGATAGTTTAGTATCATTTTATTATTTTACTAAAAGAGACACTGTAGCAATTAATGACCCGCCAAAAATGTATAATTTCTCTTCTGAAGTTAAAGGCAACTAGTGAAAACTTGAGTGGATGTAAAATTTTGAACTTGTCTTTATGACTAAGTATAAACTGATATGATTTCTGAGAGTAAGTCATATTTATAGTTACAGAGTAAATAACATGCATACTCTATTAATAGAGTAAATCTTATTTATATTTATAGGCTCTTATAGAAATTCATTATAATTCATGGTACCTGCTTCTTTCCATAAACAAACTTCTAGTATTAACAATCTATACTCACATATTACCGTTGGTGAGTGAGCTCTGGAAAACATTCCATATTTAACAAAATTCATGTCATGCTTAAAGGATAGATGTTCATGTTCACCAAATCCACAGATTGGAGTGGATGGGACCGCAGTTGTCATTTGTATAAACTGGTTAGAAAAAATCAGGCCTCCAAGAAATGTTTCCCACCTGTGCCAGACAAGAAGCAAGAAGACAGTAACTAGGCAGCTCTTACTGAGAAAGTCTTTTTTCCATTAGATTCTGGTTTTAATAAATCCTGTAAAGTTAGCTCAAAAAGAGGATGACAGAACAAAAACAGGTATGAGGGAATCTGAGGGAATGGTAGGAAATTCATGTCCATTGAGTATTTACTAAATGCTAGCCCATACACTGATTATAAATTATATGGTGTTCATTCAATCCTTATAATGGCCCTGTGGAAAAGCATTATTATTCAATTTTATAAAGGAAGAAAATGAGACTCAGAAAGAGTAAAATGTCAGGCTTCTGAGCCCAAACTAAGCCATCAGATCCCCTGTGACCTGCACCTATACATCCAGATGGCCTGAAGCAACTGAAGAACCACAAAGGAAGTGAAAATAGCTAGTTCCTGCCTTAACTGATGACATTCCACCATTGTGATTTGTTCCTGCCCTGCCCTAACTGATCAATTGACCTTGTGACATTCGTTCTCCTGGACAATGAATCTCAGGAGCTCCCCCAACAAGCACCTTGTGACTCCCGCCCCTGCCAACAAGAGGACAACCCCCTTTAATTGTAATTTTCCACTACCTACCCAAATCATAAAACTGCCCCACCCCTACATCCCTTTGCTGACTCCTTTTTTGGACTCAGTCCTCCTGCACCCAGGTGATTAAAAAGCTTTATTGCTCACACAAAGCCTGTTTGGTGATCTCTTCACACGGACGTGTGTAACATAAAGTCCCATAACTTGCCTAAAATTTTACAAATAATAGTGCCAAAATTCAGTGAGTTTTGCCTGCTCAAATTTTAGCAAAGCATTTTATCTGTGGAGATGGAAGTAGGTCTTTCTTGAAATAAAAATAGTCTGTGTTCATATAAAAGTTGGAAAATACTGGGTTACCCAAACCTGGATAGATTCCTTTTTCAGAATTCTTTTTTTTTTTTTTTTTTTGGAGACAGAGCCTTGCTCTGTCGCCCAGGCTGGAATGCAGTGGCGCCCTCTCGTCTTGGCTCACTGCAAGCTCCGCCTCCCGGGTTCACGCCATTCTCCTGCCTCAGCCTCCCAAGTTCCCAAGTGGCTGGGACTACAGGCACCCGCCACAACGCCCGGCTAATTTTTTTGTATTTTTAGTAGAGGTGGGGTTTCACTGTGTTAGTCAGTATGGTCTCGATCTCCTGACCTCATGATCCGCCCGCCTGAGCCACCCAAAGTGCTGGGATTACAGGCGTGAGCCACCGCACCTGGCCTCCTTTTTCAGAATTCTTAATGAGGAACATTATGATTCTCCAAGAATGCTTGATTGTTGCAAGCATAATGATTCTCCAAGAGGTGACTCTCACATATGACATTTTTCAAAGATAATAGATTATAGAAACCTATATAGAATGCCTGTGGAGATTGTGGAAGCCTATCTTCAATCACTTCAGGGAAAGGGAGAGAGCAGCCGTGGTGTTGGTGACATTACAGCAGTCGCAGTAATGGTAGCCCCCATGCTGCTGCCCAACTCATACCTCGCACACCTCTATTGTGGTTCAATGCCTGGTCCTAGTCCACAAGACCAACGGGTGCACCTAAGTCCACTGTGAGAGGAGTTGCTCACACACTTGAGGAGACTGCTACTAAGTAACAGCATGGTATGGCCAGTGCTGTTACTTAATATGTTTGGTAGAAATCATTGCTTTTAGTCTCTCTCTCCTCATTCAAGGAAAGTTTTCCGAGTGCCACGAACTCTCCTGAGCACTGAAGAAATAGACAGAGGAATATGAAGCAGGAACAGCAGATCGTTACAACACAATGGGCTATGTGGAGATAAACAAGCGCTTGTTAATAAGGGCGCAGAACAAAGGCATGCACATACCATAGCCTGAGAAGGTAAAAGATCAGGGGAAGCTATTATGAGCAGGTCAGGTTCTGTATACGAAGAGGAAGAGTCTGTATCCACTCTGTTTCCCATAGGAAAAAAGCTTTTATTAACTTTTTCTCGTGTTCTTAGTTGGATACAGGTTTCTCAGACCCTAATAAACAAGAAAACTCATTTAATCTTTCAAGTCATCAGGAGCCTCTGAACAAGATTTATCTTTCATTTTTCTCTCTGACAAGTATCCAAGCCTCTATGTATAACTTTCTAATAGTTCATTAAAAAGTCACTTAGCCAAAAAGACCTGAAACAAACACCAAAATGCTACTGGAGTCCTTTCTGATTAATTAATAATATTAATAGTAATCATTTGCATCAAAGATTGTATAAGAATATATATATATATTTGACATAGAATCTCACTCTGTGGCCCAGGTTGGAGAGCAGTGACATGATTATTGCTCACTGCAGCCTCAACCTCCCAGGTTCAGGCAATCCTCCCACCTCAGCCTCTCTAGTAGCTGGGACTACAGGTGTGTACCACCATGCCTGGCTAATTTTTTTAAAAAAATGTGTAGAGACAGGGTCTCACTATGTTGCCTAGGCTGGTGTCAAATTCCTGGCCTCAAGCAATCCTTCTGCCTCCAGCTTCCCAAAGCCCTGGAATTATAGGTATGAGCTTCCATGCTGGGTCATGAATATTAATGAGAGAAAGACGTTCTCTTAGTTAAGCATCTGTCTCAAAGATTGTATAAGAATATCAACAGTACTTAAGAAATTACCTTGAGTTTGAGTTCCAAAGAAATCATTCATAAAAGGTGTACAAAAGGGTTATATTCAAAATATTGGAAATGAGCTCAGCACATGCTGACCAATCAGAATCCATATGGGCTACAGCCTGAAGCAGGAACCTGAATGCCCCAGGAGATGACAGGCATTGGCCCTGTGCTAGAATGAGATTACATGTATTGGCCCTTTGCTGGAATTCGGGAAGCTGTAAAGTGGCTGAGGGGCTGCAGGACAACAGAGGAGGGTGGAGACGTGAGACTAGCCTAGGGCAGCAGCTACTCACTATTATGGAAGTACTTTAACATGTTAACAACAGCTATGACCATGCTGGTGTCTGTCTCTAAGAACAGTCAGCATGCCTCTGAGGAATTATTTTCTAATTCAATTTATCTCTAAAGCTTAAAGATAACTTTAGCTCACAGAAAATGTCATTTAAGAGAAAATCTTTGGCCTTGACTTTTCCATGTAAAGAATAGTATCAATTAAGCTTTAGTAGTATACTATCAATGAATGATCCTTCATAAGGCAATTTATGCTACTGTTTATAGAAGAACTGGTTTCCTTGGAATTATCTAAAGTGTTATTTACTTATAGAAAGCAAGCAGAACCAACGACAACATGCTATGTGTCTCATTAGTTTCAACCACAAACTTGAAATGCATCCTCCTAGATATATTTTGTTAAGTACACACTTTTGGACTCTACTTTCCTTAGCAGAAAATGAATCTAATCATTATCCATAAAATTCACATTAGTTGTTCTGAAACAGCTGGGTTGCCATAGTTTGTGGCATATTGTGAGTTGTTATTGCCAGTTCACTAGGGAATAATTGATATAAGAGGCATAAGCTGTGTCAGTCCTCGCTCTCTCTCTCTTGCTTCTTTTTATAACTTCCAATGTTCTAAAATGGTTAGCACCATTACAGAGAGTCCAGTCTCTTGAGATTTTCCTAAGCCATATTGACAAATATTCTTTTCTATTTCTCCTTTCCTTTCATGAACACTGGTTGTATACAAAGAAAAGAAAATCATATAAAGGGAAGGAAAAACATGCTTGAATAAGAAACCAGATTTCATTGTTTATTTTGAAATTACCTACGTTTGACATTAAAAAATGAGGGCTTTATCAGTCTACAAACTGGACACTAATAAGTCAAAAAAAAGAGGAGGAAAACAATAGTATGATGTCAACAATGCTGAGTTTTAAAATGATATTGAAATAAAGCATTCTCATTGTTCAAGTGAAACTAAAATAATTTGAGTGCAATTAAAATAATACCACAAAAATAAAATAATTTCACATTACCTTTCTCTTAAGTATTTTATAAATGAAATAAAACTGACTAGATCAGATGAAATTTATTTATTAAAAGTGAAATAAAACTGCCTTAGTATTTTACTTATTGTTTCAAAAAAGATAGCCCTCTATATCCATTTATTATTATAAGGAATTCCCCATATTTATCCATTCTTTATATTTAACCTCTCTTTTCAACTAAGCAGAGGTACACATACTGTGGCTTATATAAATAAATATTATCTTTTTAGAATGTGAGGGGAAAGGGTTGGTCTAGGCAAACTATATATTTTGTATGTATGAATAGATGATGGAATTCTAACACATGCATTCCAACATTTATTATATGAGCTATGTACTGACAGGAATTATAAAACCATTTTATATTTCCTCCTTTTACTTCCTGTCATACTATTCTTTTTATAACTAGAAAATATCTAGAATCTTTTTCTTCTTTTGTGCCTTTCTTATGTAGTTCTTTTAAACAAAATAAGCCCTCAGTGCAACTATCTCCTCCCTGAACTCTTATCTAATTCTTGTCAGAATTAAAATCTCCTTTTGCATTCCTCACACCTCCATTTGGCTTTTTTTTTTTCTCTTCATTCTCTTAGTTGTCCTACTTAGCCCTTTTGAGAACAGGTAGTATGTCTTTTATTCCATCTTATTCCCAATAATAACCATCAAGTGAATATTGAGAAAATGTAATTTTTCTATATACTTGGAGAAAACACAAGGTGCAACAGAATTTGTTAAATATCTATTATAAGAATGCTTTTATACATAGTAATAGAAAACTGAGTCCTTCCACTCTCTACTTTCGGTACATGATAATTCACAAATCATCGGAGAAAGCCCTACAAATCTGCTTAACCGGAGCGGGGTGAGGAGATAGAGGATGTATTTACCAAGATTCCTGATCTGCAGCACACACAGGAGCATTGGATGTCAGAGCAAACACGACTCCACAGGCTCGCACTCAGTCAGAGAGGATGTCAAGGCAACACTCATACCTCAGCCTTAACAACCAGACCTGCAGGCAGCTGGAATATTTTTCTTAGTCGTCTTAGACAATGCAATACAGGGGAAATGCCTTCTGAGCAAATCTGAGTTCTAGTCTCATTTCTACTATTAAATGATAAAGACCAGTTTCTTCAGGTTTCTGTGACTTGTTTCTCTAAAAAGACAGACTGAAGAGGATAGAACCTGATGGCCTTTTTTAGCCCTTCATTCTTAATGTATTATCCCTCCATGTGTTGCTAAGCCATTCGAAAGAAGTTGATTATAAACCTAGCTCAGCCGCCAAATCGACTGTTTCTGTGCACATGTGCTCCAACTTGACCTTCTCTTCTGTTATGGTGGATGAACTGCCTGTGCTCCTGAGACGAACTCTTCCAGCAATTCACTGGACTCCAGCCTTTCTCCCCTTTTTCTTATACCATCTTTCATATCATCATACAACACACATTTTTATCTCATCTTCAAAAAATAACTTACATTCCCTTTTTTGACCTCATTTCACTCCATTTCTCTCTTCCTTAAAATTAACTTTTTCAAAAGAATCGTTTACTGTCAGTCTTTTCCCTTTCTCTCTCTGCTCTCTCTTGAAGATACTCATCTCAGGCCTTAACCTCCCCAAAACCCTACTGGAACTGCTCTTATCAAGATGAACAAAGAACTGCATGTTGCTATAACCCACGTTCAATTCTGAGTCCTCATCAGCACAGTTGATGGAATTATTTCACATCCTCTTTTCTGAGACACTTTCTGCATTCTTTTCAGTATGAGTGAAGAAACTCCATATTTCTATAATTTCAGTCCAATTGTGTCTTGCTATTTCTTTGCATCCCAAAAAGGTATTTACAGAGCAATGGACAAGTACTCACTGGTATTTACTTATTGAATATTTATTGTGCTTGAAGATGTGAAACATGCAAAATTGAGCCAGACATTAGTTTTGCCATAAGGAGGTTAAAATACGGAGGGAGAAATAAGACAGTGAAGTGAATGAATATGATGCAAGATAGAAAATGTAATTTTCTTAATATAACAGTAAATATTTATATTGTAAATATAAATATTATTTTATAATTTTTAAATACATGTTATAAATATGTATAAATAAGACTTTAAAGAAAAGTATATATTTGGTGCTCCTGGAGTTCAGAAGAAAGAGAGATTATTTCTATGTGAGGTTTTCAGGCAGCCTTCATGAAGAAGGTAGATGAAGCATTGGAAGAATTTGGATGTACAGAGACAGCAGAGAAAGGCATTCAATAAATGGAAGAAAGAGGAAACAGTTTGAATAAATGTAGAAAGGAGGAAAAGTATAGGACAGGCCCCAGAAATAGCAGAGACAGAGGTCTCTTCCTTGTGTTCAGCATGCTGTGAGAAAATATCTTTAAGATTTTTTAAAGCCCTTTTGTCTGGTTTAGAAGGCCTATCAGACATCAAGCTAAATTATTCTGTGGTCTCAACAAAGGCTTTCATAGCCACACACTTATTGATCTTTACCTACAGTCATTTCTTTCTTTGGGAATATTTTACTGGCTGGAGAGACTGAGGATGAGAAACAGTTTGATATTCCAACTCAGTCAGTCCAAGAACTTCTATCTTCTTTCTAAATTCTTTTTTTCAACTGTACTTTTCTTTGTTTAGTTTATTTCTCTTCTCCTATAACATTATACACAATTTAAAGAGGTCAATATATTCAGTATTCTGCCCAGAAATCTTCTTTGTCAGATACACAAGTTCATTAGGTACATTTTCTACCTTCCAAATTATTGGAGGCAATTGTACAAAACACGTGTGGCCATATTTTCAGCTTCCATTAACAATTTGTTCACCATCCCACAAGCTTTTACTAACTTTTTACTATTTTTACAGCCTCTGCCCATTACTGGGTCTTAAAGCCAATGATAAATGATTTATATTTATGTCACCAATGGCATTGCATTTCTAACGTGCCATTGTAACACATTTTATGTATTAGTTATTAGTTTCTGCATACTAAAAACCACTCAAAAATTTAGTGGCTTTAAAAAGTATTATTTCTTATTTCTTATGACTCATTATTTCTTATGATTCTATGAGCTGACTGGGCAATGATTCTTGTTGGTCTTACCACTAATAAGAGCATAAATTAGGATTGACGCATCTTATAGTCAGAAAGGAACCAGCTGTCAGTATGCTGTGGCTGGATGGTACAACAGGCCTCACTCTATGTCTGGAAACTTACCTAGGATGGCTGGAACCAGTGAAATGACTAGATCTCTCTTTCTGTGTAGACTTCATCTCAGGCTTCTTTACATGATGGCCAAAGTGGTCTAAGAGGATAAAAGAGGAAGCTGCAAGGCCTCTTGAGGCCAGCTTTGCAAGCCACAGGTTGTGTACCTTGCATTTTATTAGTCAAAGCATTATGCAGGACCACCCAAATTCAAGGGGTGAGGAAGTAGACCCCACCTTTTGATGGGAGGACCTGTAAAGTATTTGTGGCCATTTTTAATCTATCACAGTTAGAAACTCAGTGTATCCCCATGGAATAAAGATGTCTAAGTGAGCTGTCTAAACATTGAAAGCTGTGTGGCACTATTAGAACCCGAAGCATAGCATTACTTTCTGTGTAGCCATAGCCATATCAAAGACATACTGAAAGGAAGTGGGTAGTCATAATTATGTAGATCAACTTAGAAATCCAAAGCAAAAATTGGCGTGATATTCTTTTGTATAATAATAACAATATGTCCTACTATTGTAATTATGTCCTATATATATATATATATATATATATATATAATATGTCCTATTATAATTCAAATAGTCATTATAACTTTGAACTATTAAGTATATGTTTTTGATTGCCACAATGGTCAAGAATATCATCACTGATTAATAACAATAACAGTGAAAATAATAACAGTTGATACTTACTGAACATGTACCATGTACCAGTTCAATTAGAATTTTGAAAAGGAACACATAATTTTAAAACAGAATGTCAACCATCCTTACAATTCAATTCTTCTGAGTACACAATTTAACAAGAAGTTACATGCAAAAGTTTTCCTACTCACCACGCAATTTTGAAGTTAAGCAACACGTTTCTAAGTTTGCTGATTGCATAACCTCCATAACTTCCCCAGGCATGTGCTGTTTCTAAGGACAAAACTAAGATAATATTAGCACACATTGTACTTAAATACTGTCTTTGTCATTTTTCTTTCTTCCTTTCTTTTTTTTTTTTTTTTGAGACGGAGTCTCATTCTGTCACCAGGCTGGAGTGCAGTGGCGCGATCTCAGCTCACTGCAACCTCCATCCCCCGGGTTCAAGTGATTCTCCTGCCTCAGCCTCCTGAGTAGCTGGGACCATAGTCATGCACCACCACACCCAGCTAATTTTTGGATTTTTAGTAGAGACAGGGTTTCACCATGTTGGCCAGGATGTTCTCGATCTCCTGACCTCATGATCCACCCACCTCGGCCTCCCAAAGTGCTGGAATTACAGGCGTGAGCCATCATGCCTGGCCGTCTTTTTTTTTATAACTCAGAATTGAGATAACCTTTAATTTACCAATTTCATGTTATATTTTGTATCAGCAGCCTCATTTAAGGGAAAATCAATATTGAGTGGAAATTCAAATCATTTGCTACCAGAATGATAAAGCTAAAATATATTAGAAGAGCAAAAATTGTATTAATTTTTTTAAAATGATCTAATTCTAATGTTATGTTCAGTTTTAATGTTATCAATAAGTAAAATGGGAAATTTGTAGTTACTGCCAGATGAGATACCATGAAGTACTTAATCAAATGATGTTATGATATTTGAAACTTTCCATTAAGAAACAGTGTATTCATGAAAAATACAGACCATCAGTTCTACCCTTCTTAAATTGGAGCCAATCTGAAGTATGAAATTCTATATCCATTGCAACTGGGGAAATATCATTTTGAAACAGAGATATAGTGTCACGTTTGCTTAATATTATCCTATAGATTAAACCAATTTTATTAGCTCAAAACATATTTATTTTTTACAAATGAATGTAGTTCTTTAGGTTAAAAGAATATTGATAAACAGAGAAATAAACAATTTATTCTAATGAGGAAAGGAAAATTAAAATTAAAATGTTTAAGTAAAAGCAAATGTAGATGTTAGATATTGAAATGGTAATAAGAAAAATCTAATTCCCTTCACAGTGTATCTCCAAGAATAGGAAAAACTGCAACGATTAAAAAATTGGTCATCTAACTCTGATTTAATTGATTACAATACAATCTTTTCTGTAGTAGAATGAAATAATGAACGGCAGTCTTTCTTCTAGTCATATTCGGTCAGTCGTCAACGACTTCTAAAAACTTGCCCTGGAAAGCATCAATGGGCAGCCACGGGTAATCGCTGAAGCTCCAGGCACAGCCTCTCTCCTCCTAGCGCTATCCTCCTTCCTCACCCTGCACAATTGTGTGTGAAATGGTCACTCACATCTCAGCTGCTGGAACCTCCAATCAACACCACCGTCACCACTGTCACCTCCATCACCACCACCCACTCACCCATTCCAACTAGCTTTCCAATTTCAGGTTCAAGGACAGAGGCCCATTTCCTCAGGTAAATTCTTAGTGAGGGCCACAAGTTTTAGTCTAGTGTGGCAAAGCTCCTCATATTGTTTTGCTCTGGAAGATTCTTTCCAAAGACCTGATTCACAAAGAATCCATTACGATTTGGGAGCTGTCTAAAATCAGTAAGCAAAATGATCCAATGGTAAAATTGGGACATAATGAGCTCTCCCAGGCCCAGAATTAAGTGCCAGTCTAGGTATGCATTACAAATAAGCCAGAGGCAGCCCAGACTAGGAAGACGCTAACAATCTGTCTTTGTGAATTGCTCGAAGTCCTTCTACCTCTTAGGCAATTCTGTTCCATTTAACCTCTGTTCCCAGTCAGAATTTAATTTGTTAATGATTTAATTTATCTGATATTTATTTATTTTATTCAGTTTTATGGTTCACTGCTCTTACTTTTCCTGAAATCTTTCTTTTAACTTCAAATTTTAATCAGTATTCAAAATGTTTCCCATAATGATCTCTGCTAAAATCTGTAAAAACTCAAACCAATGGCAAATTTAGAATAACAGAAAATAGCATATAATATAAGTTAGCTCAATCAAGTTCTATTTTCAAGTCTGTAAAATAGGCTGGTTTCCTCAAAGCAGAGGACTTTCAAGGTCCAGGAGCAATAAAAATGAAATGTAATGATATTTTTCTTTTCTTCTTTCAATTTGGAATTCATTGTATTTCTGAGACTACCCTGTTCTTTCCTATTATAAATCAGCTCCTCTCAGCCCAGATTTTACTCTTCTGCTTCTTGCTTGTGTCTCTATAGTCATTTTTTGCCTTTGTCCTTAAAGAGGATGGTCCTCCAAATCCCTTCTCCTAAGCATCATCATTCAATTTTACGTTACTGCCCAGTAAGAAATGTAATTATAAACAGATTTTGACACATTTCTCAAGCCCTGGTCATGCAATGTAAAGAGAAAATAGCTCATAGATTCCAAACAGAAATTGAAGTTAGCTTTCAGAACACTCTGCTCAGCTCCAACTAAGTAAATGCCACAATTTTATACATTCCATACATTTCCCAGAAAAATATCCAACATATCAAAATCGAGAATCTAGTCTCCAAATATCAGTGCTTGGACAAATGTTTTAAGTGGCATTCGACATTAAATCTGGCTTTTCTCTTGAGAATCTTAACAAAAAATGAGTATCTTTTTTCTTATAGAAGTTAAACACAATATTTGTAATTGAGTTATTTTTGTACTTATTGATTAGAATAAGTACTCTGGTTACTTTAGAGTATGATTTCAGATGTTATAAAATAGTTGCTGTTAAGGGTACTTTTCCATTCTTAGGTTTTTATGTCATTTCACTGAAAATTAAATGCTGTCTGATGCTTCACAAAAATATGCAAAAAGAGAAAGCTTTTTTTCAAAAGGTTTACATGATACCATAAACGACAAGAAGTTTACCTTAGCCCAACTTGTATGCAATGAGTCATCTCTCTACACAAAATAATGAGTCTTTCTGGCTATTTGGCAGGGCCCACACAACTGATTGAGAAAGAAGAAAAAGTGTAACCTCCTCTTCAACAATTGAGTTGACAATGATTAGGAAGCAAAAAGCCATGCATTTTTGGCTTTTTCATTCACCATGAAGGCTCTGCGTTCCCAGGCTATGGCAAACATAACTAGAATGTAATGTCTGAGGATGACAGGTCATCCTGAACCAAATAAACCCACGAGCATAGATCAGAAATTTTAGATGAGAGAAATGCTTATTAAAAGTTCTTGAAAATATATACCTCCATCCTGGATCTGTCTTTTCAGGTTGATCATTTATGGTGTAGCCATATGAACCATCTGCTGGGTAAAACCACCAAGGAATGTCGGTAGTGGTTGTGGAACACTGGAAGCAGCCTCTAGCTTCACAGCTTTCTTGAGAGGTTCCTGGTTGAGGGTGGCAATCAATGCGTTTCTGAATGGGAAACCGCATGGCACAAGCAGCCTCTTGTTTCCTAATGCTAAATGACGAGTTAATGGGTGCAGCACACCAACATGGCACATGTATACATATGTAACAAACCTGCACGTTGTGCACATGTACCTTAAAACTTAAAGTATAATAATAATAAAATTTAAAAAAAATAAAAAATAAATAAATAAATAAAAATAAAAAAAAGAAAAAAAGAAAAAGAAGCAACATGGAACCTTACTGTCAGCAACACACCAGTGACATCCACAGTTGGTACAGGAAACTTCATTTGCTCCTGACTCTGGATAACATTCAGTTTGTTCAGAGGACGCTGCCACAGAGCATGAGTCAATTTTCTCAAAACACCATGGGATGCCTGGCATTTTAGATGGAGACCAGCGGCAATTCCTGGCCAAACATCTGTCTTGGGAAACTCCAGGATCAGGGTGACAGTCCTTACGTAATTGGGCAGCTACAGATGCTGAGCATGAACTTGAACTAACTGGCTGGACTAAAATTGAACCAAGAAGGAAAGCAGGGCAGGGTAAATGAAAAGATAACCTGAAAACGTATTACAATCAAGACACTTGTAGAACTTAAAAAAAAAAAAGTATCTCTCAAAATACTTAGATTGCAAGTGGAATAGCTGGTGGATACAAAACAAGTACTATAAATTTGTCAGCCTGAGTAAAACAAAAACCTGTCCCTTAAAAATGCAGCACTAACATTTATTATTTAGTCACTTGTAATATTCTCAGCATGCACATATTTTATGGTTCCTCAATCTTAGTTGTCTACTCATTATCATCTTCTAAATATTACCAAATGGATTTCACAAAAGTCAACATAATTATTTCTTTCCTATTTGCTATGCCTTCCTTCATTTACGGAGTGGATACCAGTTATCAGGCTTCCAATAATAATACTGCCAAAATGTCTATACATGCTTTCTCAAAGCTAACAGATACCAGACCTTCAAAAAAGCCATAATACTGATATATTTGTTCATCCCCTTTCTTCTGTGGCTTTCATTTTTTAAAAATCCTAGGTTTATGCTGCCAGTACTGATTATTTTCAGCAAATATCAGTGTTGATATTTGGGGGATTTTATTCTACTAATGTAATCAACTTCATGGATTACTAATCTTTGTCCTCCATAAATTGAATACATTGGAATACAGATGCAATTCACTTATGCTCCAAAATCACAAAATTGAACATAGTCATGATTTAATTAATATTTTAATAGCAGTCACAAGCAACATTTGATCTCTTTTTGGTTCTGTTATAAATGATTTCTAAACTGTGTTTTCTGCAAGTAAGGTTCATGAAACACCTGCCTCAGAATTGGCTATCAAATTGATCCATATACCTTTTTGGGAAATAGGCACCGTCATATGTACATTGCTGATGGAGATAAAATATTGCACAATCCCTAGTAAGGGGAATTTAACAGTATCTATCAAACTACACATAACAACATGCCCATAAATGTGTACGTGCTCTCCAAAGCTGTCTGTAGCCATCTACCCCTAGGAAAAACATCACACATCCCCAGGGGTATGAAAATTGGAGTAAAAGGATCACTGCTCCATATTACATGATTGAATTGGAAATGCTTATTCTTACAATACTCCAAAAACAAAATGCCAACTTCAACTAATAGAAAACTTCATTCCCTCACTTCTGTTTCTCAAAATTCAAACCAACCAAATACTATCATTAAATGAATAGCTTCATGCATAAACATCTAGCCCTCATCCTAACTTACCCTTATTGTTGCAATCATTTCAGTCTGTACTCAGGTTATTATGCTTTCTATCCTTTGTCTACATGAGCTTCTCATTCAATTTCTCCTATGTGTTACCAAAAGTCTCCTCACTGCCTCACTGCCCTTTTCCAGTTCTCCTTCCTTATTCTGCACCAACTGCAGGGATGTGTTCCTGGGGTCAACATGGCTCTGGGACTTTCAAGCTGTATGACTTTAGATAAGCCACTCAAACTTTCTAAGTTTTAGTTTGATCATATTTAAAACAGCAATGGTAAAGCTTAGCTTATAAGTTTGATTATTGTCTAAGCTAAGGTAGAGCATATAGGAGTATATTAAAGACTAAGTGTTAGATAGGTGATTTACCAGTTCTTTTTTTTTTTTTTTTTTGAGATGGAGTCTTGCTCTGTCTCCCAGGCTGGAGTGCAGTGGCGTGGTCTTGGCTGACTGCAACCTTCGCCTCCCAGGTTCAAGCAATTCTCCTGCTTCAGCCTCCTGAGTAGCTGGGATTACAGGTGGATGCCAACACGCCCAGATAATTTTTGTATTTTTAGTAGAGACGGGGTTTCACCATATTGGTCAAGCTGATCATGAATTCCTGACCTCGTGATCCTCCCGCCTCAGACTCCCAAAGTGGTGGGATTACAGGCGTGAGCCACAGTGCCCAGCCTACTAGTTCTTTTAAAGTTTGTACTAATTTTGATTTTAAAAGTGTTAAAAATTATCAAAAGTTAAATTACTCACCTGCCAGAACCATGGAACAAAAATGGAGGAGTCTTATGGCCTTCACTGTCCCAGGAAAGTGATATTTGTTCATGGAATGTGATGTATTTATACAGAACTATTTGAATAAATTGTTTTGGCCTTGAATTTTTTCTACAGAGCAATGAAGTATAACCCAGGCCAAGAGGGACTCCTTGAAGGTTTTCTCACAAGATTACCAGTGGCTGGCACTACCATTTAATGGAAAGACATGAGATTAGCATACAGGTGGCCTGGGGTTTAATCTAGCTCTCCCTTGGCAGTGGCAGTCTGGGTGTGTCATTTAATCTCTATAAGTGAAGGATTGTTCATCTGTAAAACGGATATAATACCTGCCCTGTCTATTTCCGGGGAGTGAGATGAGGATCATTGTTATAACAATAGCCTAAGAATGCAAACATCAATGAATAATCAGACAGTTTTTCATTTGACATGATCTAGGTCCCTTGAGCTACTAAGGGAATTAAGAACTAGACAAAAGAAATTTCAAATGGATTATAATTTTTTTTCTTTCAAAACTTTGAAAATTTCAATTCTTAGGGTATTTTAAGCTATTTCTTATTGACAATTCAGTCACTGTACTTTGGCTTGGAATGTGGGAGCAATATAGTTAGGGTTGAGAGAGTTTACTTAGAGGACCACTCAAGCTAACCAGAGTCATAAGATGATAAGCTTTTTTTTGTTGTTTATTTTTGTTTGTTTGTTTTTGTCTTCCAGTGTCCTTCCCTCACACTAACAAGCCATAGCAAAAAATGTTTTCTCCCAACCAGGAAGACTCAGCTTCAGGATTACAAGGACTAGGAGTTGTATTTTACTGGAAGTAATTTTTAAATTAAGAAAGGGAAAAGGAAAAGTTTAAAGTTTTTCCTAAGTGGAAAGGAAGGATCCTGGGAGATGTAAAAGGACCCTCCACTAGTTCATTCACACCAGCTGATTGGCTTTGTTAATAATCTGTACAGGAAACCTGGAGTCCAGTCATGAGGGAAGGAAGGGGGGCAGTTAACATCAAACATTAGTGAAAAGTACAAGAGAAGTTTTTCAAAGACAAACTTGTTGTTTCTCAGAATTTTACATAAAAATCTCTTAATCACCTTAAGGGGGAAACTGAGTCTGTTGGCAAATATATTGATACTTCCACTGGTAGCTTCCTGAGAACTTGGTTCCTTGTAGCAAATTCTGCCTGGACACAGCAGAATTCAGAATGGAATAGAGAAGTTCAGAATCCCAGCACAAATAGCAGGGCTGGTGTCTGAACCATAGCTGAACCACACGTCTATGATTTCAATGGGGTTGTTGAAATGTGGGTAGAAAGATAAATGCATGTTTGCTGTGTTGTAGTACTGTCTCTGTTTCTAGTTCAAGTTACAATGATTTTGGTAGGAAAATGCCTTGAGAACACTGAGTCCTTGGTTACAGAGACATTAGTGTATCACCTAATCCCTCCCCCTCTATAACATGAAGACATACAAGAGAGCTTCTGTAAAGGAAATATACATCCAATAGGGTAGAGATATTTTAAAATTCAGTAAGTAGAGCACTACATTTATCATCCTGTTGAATATTATTGTTGGCAAACCAATCATCCTGGATTTATCATCTGAATGACCCAACCAGGGCTCTTGAAAACCACGGCCCACATGTCTATCATATACTGCCACTTTACAACACTACTTTTCAAGTGGATAATGTGAAATGTTCATGTAAATAGTATAAATGAAATAAAGAAACTTGATTTTTAGCCACTTTTCAATTAGATATTTTGGAAATGCAATAAAATATTTACATTAAAAAATGTTCTACATATTTAAAAATTTGTCAAGCTCATATATCTTTGGTACCCATATTTTTAAATTAAAAATTGAGACAAACATATAACAAATTAATTTTCTTTTATGGGGAAAATGAGATAGAATATTTAAGATTCAGACAGAATGGGAAAACCTTAGATACAAGAAAATCTTAGATGATTTATATGTAGTGTGACAAAGTAGGAAATGGTCAAGAACATTAACTACACAATTATTCACAGCGTATATTTTATTAAAATTTTAAATATGTGTTAGAGTCAAATTCAGTGTGTTTTCAAAAAATAATTTTTGAAAATCTTAATTATTTGCTGAAAGTTAGGAATATTCCTAGGAATGTGCTCTTATATATGATATTACATATGTAATAATAATTGTTTTTTAAGTTAAAATAAGAGATGACTTGCAATAAGAGTTTGTTCAAATATCCTGTCATAAACTTAACATTTTCATAAATGTCTAGCTCCCGTGCTATTTCCCACTGGATAAGAAAAATTTACATATGTACACTTATACTAATTTATCTATATCCTAGATGTATGCTTAACATTCCCAGCTGTATTTGTATATTTTAATTATTTATTTTTTATTTACTCAATACACTCAAAGAAAGGAACAGATGCGTAAAAAGAAATTTATGCTGTGATCCAAGTTAATTAGTTGCAATACCCTCTCTAATTCCTTAGGATAAAGAATTATATGGTTTTGCAATCTTTGTAGACTGTGTTATATCACTGTTGATCATATGAAACCCTAAGGACAAATCAGATTCCTCCTCAAAAGTTTATTAAAATAATTTATCTTAAAACTCCAATTACAATAAAAATGCAATTTCTTAAATATTTACTGTGGTACAGATTTACTAACTTGATTATAATCACCCTTTTGACAATCTCATTAACAGATTATGCTGATTATAGAAGGCACCATATTTTTCAAACATGTTAACAGTGTACTGCTATTTTAAGCTTATATAAACAGAAATCCTAACATGCTCTGTCTCTCATTTTTCACATTGACATATAGATCACAAACATCCATCAATTTCTAGGGTTCAGCGTATTTAAGTAGAAAAACTGCTTGTGAGAGCATTCTGGATATTAAATCTAAATAAGAAAGATATTGAAATGGAATATTCAGGAGGCAGTTTAATAAGGAAAATGGCTGGATCTCATAATACAACAGATATAGGGAAAGAAAGTCAGAGCTAAATTAGTAATTGCTTCAATGTCATCCTTAATATTCCAGTGGTTGGTTGATGGAGAAATGGGGAGGGAGAGAGGTGACAGGTATTTTTTATTTATCATGTGCATTTGAACAATATAATAAATCTGGGAGGGATATATATGGGCGCGCGCACACACACACACACACACACACACACACACACATATGTACACATAAGTTTCTCTTTTTCCAGATCCTTACATAATTCAAAAACCTTTTTCATCACATTTATATATACTTCCATTATAGATATTTCTTAGTTATAATTTCTGCTCAGGAAATATATTTTTAAAAGTTAATAAATCTATTCATTGAATAAATTTGTACTGAGCACTACTATGGACTAGATGCTGCCTAGATATTGGTGACATAACATGAACAGGACAGACACAAATCCTGTCCTCCCAGACAAAGCAGGGTGATAAGCGTCATGAACAGAAATCCCCAGGAGCAGTGGGAGGACAAAGGAGATCCACGCCAACAAGGTACAGCTGTGCCAAGCCACAGGGAGTTTAATTGGGTTATAGTAACATGAAATCAATGCATTTCTAGTCAGACTCAAATTCCATTTCATGCCCAGGATTCTCCTATTACCTCTACATCTAATAGTAGGCTAAAGCTGCTGGTATTTTTTAAATATTGGTTGAATTTTTTTTCAAAAAAAAGGTCAATATTTTAGCAAATAAGAAATGACAGTAACTGAAAGTAAGCTGTCATCATTTGCCAACTCCTAACGAAATAAGGGACTATATTTTAACATAAATTACAATTTCCATTACAAATTTCCAGTGTGGGGGGGAAAAATAGAGGAATAGATATAGCAGAACATGCTTAGAAGCATGTGTAAATGCATATCCTACTGAACAGAAGGGACAATCCACAAAATCTAACTTCCAACGAAGAATCCACTGCAATATTTGCTGTTTTTTTTATTTTAACACTTTTTCTGAAATATAATCTAAGTCAGTCACTCTCACACTTTCCCAGGGGGGAGCATAAACAGAAGCCCATAGATCTGAGAGTCTTCAGTAAGTATAGCAAATTCAACAGCAGCCTAGCCTCAGTCTTATATCCTCCCACCCCCACCCCCCAATCCCCATTGCTACTTTGTGATGACTGATGAGCAGCTCTTTATGCTGAGATTGAGAAAACCTGTGTCTCTCATAAATTCCACCCTCTGAGGGCAGCAGAAAGATAAAGGTATCAACTTAACACTTTATTGAACTTAAATATTTTACCTAAAGAAATAATCAAACTGGAAAAATGACTTAACTATCCACTGACCCATACCCACACCTCGATATATGGGAGTATTGACAAAGGAAGGAAGGGAGAAAGGAAGGAGGGAGAAAAGGAGGGACCTCAAACTGCTTCAATCACCACCCAGGCTTAAGGCTTCTTTTGAAAATTGTCCTGCAGGATCTCAGTAAATGTGTTTTACTTCACTTCTCCAAATTTAGCAATGTTCTTTCCAGACTTATCTTTCAATATACTGTCTACTCCTCTCTGGCCCCTAAATTTGTTTTAATTGATTTTTAACTGACAAATAACTGTATATATTTATGGGGAACAATGCAATCAACAATGAGATATCACATCACAGCTGTTTGAATGTCCATTACCAAAAAGATAAAAGATAACAAATGTTGGTGAGGATGTGGAGAAAAGGGAACCCTTATGCACTGCTGGTGCATTTCCCCTGGGAAAGTGTGAAACGTAAATTAATACAGCCTGTATAGAAAACAATATGGAGTTTCCTCAGAAAACTAAAAATAGAATTACTATGTGATCCAGTAATTCCCCTTCTGGGTATATATTAAAATGCATTGAAATCAGAATACCAAAGAGATATTTGCACTCCTATGTTCACTGCAGCATTAGTCACAATAGCTAAGATAGGAAAGCAACCTATGTTTCTGTCATTTGATGAATAGATAAAGAAATTCAGGGATATAACCACAATGGAATACTGTTCAGCCTTAAAAACAGGGGAAATCTTGTCATTTGTGATATCATAGTTGAACATGGAGGACATTATGCTAAGTGAAATAAGCCAGGCTGGCCCACAAAGGCAAATTTTTCTTAATGGATCTTTTATTCTACTCCCCAGTCACAGATATAAATAATAAACTTTACTAAACTTCAAGCCAAACTTTAACCAACAACTCTAGTATTCCCCTTTTCCAAGTCAAGTTATTCATAGAACTCATTGGGAGTCATTTCCCAAATAATACTCTATATAACGAGAAGTCAAATCTTTTTTTGAGTCAAAATTTATTCAGTGATGCCAGGACCAATAAGCTAAGGACACCTATTTGACAGTATTCCTCCTATCAAAGCCACCTTGCACCTTACTCATAATCTATATGGTTGCAAACTGAGTATATATACGTAATTTCTTAAATATATATGTAATTATATATATTTATATATAATTTATATATTTGTAAATTATATAAATGTAAAATAATATATGACATATATTATTTTATATATATTATATTTATATATATGTTTATTTGTTTGAGTGGGAAGGGGTCTTGGTCCATTTAGGCTGTTATAACAAAATAACTTAGACTACATAATTTATTAAAAACAGATTTACTGCTCAGTTCTGGAGGTTAGAAAACCAAGATCAAGGTTCCCGCAGATTTGATGTCTGGTAAGGGCTTCATAGATGGTGCCCTGGTGCGTATCCTCACATGGTGGAAGGATCTGGAGAGCTCTGTGGGGCCTCTTTTATAAGGGCACAATCCCACTCTCTTGACTAGAAGGTGGAGCCCTTATGACTTAATGACTTCCCCAAAGCCCCACTATCACACTGGATTTAGGCTCCAAAGTATGAATTTTGAGAAGACAACAACATTCAGACCATAGCTAACACCTGACAAACCAAACAAATATTTATTACCTCTGGCAAGGTGACTTAATCTTAAAATTAATCAGGGCCATAATATTACCAACTTACAATATTGAAAGTTACTAATGTTTAAGTTGAAAGCCTGCTTGATTTTCCAATCATTCATATCATAGTTTTTATTATGATGTGATTTATTCATACATGTGATTTATGATGTACATTTATTTTCCAAAAGTGCTCCTCTAATCCTCCATTTCAGTCATTTACTTCTCCTGTGTCTTCTAAAGTCCCAACTTGAGGACTTAATTGACCTATCTAACTTGGGGCAACTAATGTTCCAGAACTTTCTTCCAGTCATAATTACCAGTTCCATGTCCTGCTGCCTCATTCTTGCTAGTAAGTAATAAGAGATAGATTGATTAATGATTTCTTGCAAAATCACAAATGAGTCTGAATGAGTATATGTATTATGTGTCTCAATAATGTTTCACCTTAAACCAATGAAGTACTAGCTTCCTTGTAACTATTACATATTGTAGTTACATATTGTAACTACAATTACAATTAGAAACACTCTCTCCCATTCCCACAAATAGTGCACATTGCAGGTTGTTCTTTGTTTTTTGTTGTTGATGTTGTTTTGTGTTTTTTTTTGCTTTTTTTGCTTTTTTTGAGACAGAGTCTCACTCTGTTGCCCAGGCTGGAGTGCAGTGGTGCGATCTCCGCTCACAGCAATCTCTGCCTCCTGGGTTCAAGTGGTTCTCCTGCCTCAGCCTCCCGAGTAGCTGGGACTACAGGCTCCCACCACCGTGCCCGGCTAATTTTTGTAATTTTAATAGAGACAGGGTTTCACCATATTGGCCAGGCTGGCCTCGAACTCCTGACCTTATGATCTGCCCGCCTCAGCCTCCCAAAGTTCTGGGATTACAGGTGTAAGCCACCACTCCCAGCCTGCAGGTTGTTCTTTTGTTCACCTCAGTAAAGAGGCCATAAAGAAACATTTTCATTGTTTGTTGCAACATTAATTACAAGAGTAAAAAAAAATAGCTACATAGTTTCCAGTCTCAGGTGATCCTCCTATCTCAGCCTCCTGAGTAGCTCCCACCTCCAAGTAGCTCCCACCTCCAAACACCACCAAGCCTAGCTTTTTTTATTTTTATTTTTATTTATTTATTTATTTTTATTTTTTAGTAGTGACTAGGTCTCACTATGTTGCCTAGGCTGGCCTGGAACTCCTGAGCTCACATGATTCTCTTGCCTCGGCCTCCCAAAGGGATTACAGGTGTGAACCACGGCACCTGGCCTGAACACTTTTAATAACATGGAAAAGTATTTATAATACATTGTGAAATACTTTACAACATCTCAAATTCATAAATTTGTGTGTGATTTTCACTGAATGCACTTTTTTTTTCCTTTTTTTCCACTTTGTCACCCAGGCTGGATTGCAGTGGCACAGTTATAGCTCGTTATAACCCAATTCCTGAGCTCAAGTGATTTTCCCACCTTAGCCTCCCTAGCAGCTAGGACTACAGGTGCACACTGCCATGTCCACTTTATTTTATTTTTATTTTTTAGAGACGTTGTCTCACTGTGCTGCCCCAGCTTCTCAAAGTTCTGGCCTCAAGCAATCCTCCTGCCTCGACCTTCCAAAATATTGGGATTACAGGTGTGAGTCACTGTGCCCAACCTGAATGCCCATTCTAAAAATATATTAGTGAGTATATATTTCTGATTTCTAATCAGAAAAAATAGAAAGGAAGGCTTTCTATTGAAAGAAAGTTACTTCATTTTATATTTCTTCCACAATCTTTAGTTAGAAATCCTAGAAGCAGTATTAACTGTCACTGTATTTAAAGTACAATTTGAATCACAAAATAATCCCTGGTTAAAAGAAAAGGACTCCACAAAGGCTATTATTTCAATGATCTTCAGCCAGGAACTATGAAGGCAAAGACTTTTAAATTGTGGACTTATTTGTTAAGAAGAATGGGTTCCAGTGTAAAAAAAGTAAGATTATTTTCTAGCCTGGTTAATGGTCTAACAGCATACAATGTTTTACAAAAAGAAACTGCCATTGGCAGCTTCATTAATTAAGCACTTCATTAGTTTAAGTGAGAACTTGATACTTCAGGGGACATCACTCAGTGAAATTTCTCACTTAGGGTAGGCCATTGTTAGCAAATCAAAACTGGCAATTCACGCCTAAATGTGAAAGTCAAGCTTGCCACTGTTTAATGAGGTGAAAACAGAGTTACAGTAAACTAAGTAGACCTCAGTCCAAACCAAAGATACTTTATTAGTTTAGCTAAGCAAATACAGGCACCATACAAGCTGATTCTTGTGACCAAAACAGTATTTGCCTAATTAGAACAGCTGAAAGTTCCTCAGTGCTCATGCTATGACTGTAAGTTGAGGTGCATGTTAAGTTATCTCTTTTCCATGATGTTTAATATATCATATCCAAAAGCTTCTAGTGAATTGGTTTTCTTAAAATACTCCTAAAATCTTTAGGTTCTTCTTTCAGACAAAACCATATTATTATATTTTTATTATTTATATATGTATGTGGATATGTGTGTGTATATATATATATATATATATAGCAGAAAAAAAGAAAGGGCAACTTGGAAGGGCAAGCTTGTACATTCCTTCTTAAAGACGACTTAGTTCATGGATCTGTATCCTTCCAAATAAACTTGAGAAGGTCTTCATTAAGTTCTTCAAAAATCCAATAGAAAAGTTTATAATTGCACTTAACTTATAGATTAATTTGGGGAGAAGTGACATTTTTATAATATTGTCATTCCATCTAAGTACATGGGATGTCACTCCATTTTTCCAGATTGTTTTCCATGTCTTTGATTAGACTTTCAAATTTGCATGCCTAAAGTATTTGTGTATTTTTAGTTAACTTAGTGCCTGTATACATTATGGTCTTATTAAGATTATACTTACATAAAGTTAAATTTTATGACATTTTTAAAACACATTTTGAAAAATATTTCTAAAGAGAGGATTGTAGGCTTTTTAAAAATAACATTTATGTTCAAGTAATGCAATGCAGTTACGGAAAATATTTATTCCCATATAACCCCCCCCCAAAAAAATCATCTATTAACTTTCTCTTTTTAGCACTGTTTTTTTGAAGTGTAAGAGATTTCTTGAAGTTTGAATAATTTGATCTAATGGATGCAAGACACAGATCTGGGAAATATCCTCTTTAGGTGAATTTAAAGAATTATCACTTTTTCAGTCTTCGTCGATTTTTTTTTTCCATTTTAGCATCTGTATTCCTTTTGCTTCTGACTTGAACTAGTAACCATTAGTGACTATAAACAATATGTGAGAATTTAAATATTAAAAACTTTAAAATACTAATGCTACTCTTTAGCTGAGTGGTAACTTGGAACATCCAAGTCCTCAGCATACCACCCCCTCTCCTCTGATCTTGACTTCCTTCCAACTCATGGTGTACATTCAGTCAGTACAGAGACTTCTGCATTGTTCCAATTTAAAATGGTACAAAATTATTAGCAACTTGTTTATTTATTTTTATTACCAGAAATTAAGTAGATGCTATTGTCACCTTTAATTCGTGAACCAATGGGAACCCCTTTTTACATCCTTGTGGATTTATGAATCACCAAATGAAAACTCTAAGGCTTCCTGATGTTCACAGACATCACTCTGCATGTTAGGGCCTTTGAGTCTGCTAAAGACAGTACTTAGGTTTGGGCCTCAGGTGGGAAATAGGTGCCTTGACTATGGTGGATTTTCCAAACTCAGTATTTGTAATTCAATTAGCAAAATCCCTTCAATTAGTAAAATTTGGAATTTGGGCACTATAAAAGTGATGCATTCACATTGCAAGGAGATTGCAAAATGAAACCTTTATATTATTTGGTTTGTGAGATGATAAAAGATGTGTTTATTATTATTAATTATGTTAACAATAGTAACTTTTCAAGAAGTCATGAATGCACAGGGAGGTAATGGAGTCTATATATATATATATACATATATATATATATATATATAGAATATCTAGATCAATCTTGAATATTGGTGGTATTAGATATGGTGAAAGGCTCTTACCTAATTTGAGTGCTACAAAAATAGAAGGTAAAAAATAGCCAATAGAAGAAGTAAATGTACCATGAAGTGTATAGTTCTAATTGAATATTGCTAAGTAAATGCTATTAATAAACCTTGCTTACACAGAGCTAAAAATCTAGGGATTTACTTATTGCCCATCCTTTTCAAGCTATTCTTCATGGTTATTAATCTTGTAAGTACATTTTCTCTTCCAGGAATGGCCTGCAAGTGTATTAGTACATTTTCACACTGCTATAAAGCAATACTGGAGACTGGGTAATTTACAAAGGACAGAGGTTTAATGGACTCAGAGTTCTGCATGGCTGGGGAGGCCTCAGGAAACTTACATAAGATGGAAGATGAAGGGGAAGCAGGCACCTTCTTCACAAGGTGGCAGGAGAGAGAAGCGTGAGTTGAGAAACTACCAAACACTAAAAAGCCATCAGATCCCATGAGATCCACTCACTTCTACGAGAACAGCATGGGGGAAACTGCCCCCATAATTCAATCACCTCCCACCAGGTCCCTCCCTCAACACACGGGAATTACAATTCAAGATAGGGTTTGGGTGGGGACCCAGAGCTAAATCATATCAACAAGATACCAAGGAAACCTCAGAACTAAGAAATTCTATAAAGAAAAGAAGAACTCTCTCATCTGTCTCCTCTCCTCTCCTTCTTTCTCTTTTCTCCACTCCTTATCCCATCCCTCCCCCCCCATCTCTCCCTTCCTGTCTCTCTCTCTCTCTGTCTCCCCTAAAAAGAAATTAAAAATTAACTAATTGATCTCTAGCGTTTGATGCCTCATCATTTTCTGAAAATCCTAACACCACAAAATGTCGAGGATGTGGAGCAACAGCAACAGGTTATTGATATTAAGAATTTTTTTCTATACCTCTTAGCAATTTGCATGTCTTTTTATAAGAAATATCTATTCACGCCTTTTTCTCATTTTCAAAATCAATTTTTTTTTAAGAGAGTATTGCTCTGTCACTCAGGCTAGAGTGCAGTGGTGCAATCTTGGCTCCCTGCAACCTCCACCTCCCGGGTTCAAGCGATTCTCCTACCTCAGCCTCCCGAGTAGCTGGGATTACAGGCACCCGCCACTGAACCCGGCTAATTTTTGTATTTTTAGTATTGATGGGGTTTCACCACATTGGCCAGGCTGGTCTCAAACTCCTGACCTCCTGATCCACCCACCTTGGCCTCCCAAAATGCTGGGATTATAGGCGTGAGCCACCACGCCCCGCCTAAAATCAAATTATTTGCTATTTTCTATTGCATTGTTTGAATTCCTTTTATATTCTGGATATTAACTCCTAGGCAAATGCATAGTTTGCAAATATTTTCTCCCATTTTTAAGTTTTCTCTTCACTCTCTTGATTGTTTCCTTTGTTGCACAGAAACTTTTTCATTTAATGTAATGCCATTTGTCTATGTTTTCTTTCGTTGCCTGTGCTTTTGAAATCTTATCCAAAAAATCCTTACCCAGATCAATGTCATGAAGCATTACTCTATGTTTTATGTTTTCTTCTAGTAGTTTTATAGTTCTGGGTCATACATTTATGTCTTTAATCCATTTTGGGTTGATTTTTATAGATTGTGAGCTACAGGGATCTAGCTTCCTTCTTTTACAGGTGGATATTTAGTTTTTTTAGCAACACTTATTGAAAAGACTGTCTTTTCCTCAATGTATGTTCTTGGTGCCTTGTCAAAAATCAGTTGGCTCTAAGTGAGTGCATTTATTTCTGACTTTTCTTTCCTGTTCCATTGGTCCATATGTCTACTTTTATGTTTATAGCAGGGCGTTTTGTTACTATAGCTTTGTAGTGCATTTTGACATCAGGTAGTGTGATGCCTCCAGTTTTTTTCCTTTTGCCCAACATTACTTTGGCAATTTGGAGTCTTTTGTGTTTTCATATAAATTTTAGTATTGTTTTTTCTATTTCCATGAAGAATGTCATTGGTATTTTGATAGATATTGTGTTAAATCTGAAGATTATTTGAGTGATATGGACATTTTAGCAATATTAATTCTTTCAATTCTTGTACATAAAATATCTTTTCATTCAATTTCTTCCATCAATGTTTTATACTTTTAATTGTAGAGATCTTTCACCTCCTTGGTTGAATTTACTCCTATGTATTTTTTTAGGTGTTATAAATGGGATTGCCTTCTTTCTTTCTTTTTCATATAGTTTACTATTGGTGTATAAAATGCTACTGATTTTTGAAATAACCACATGGGTTTTGTGCTTGATTTTGTTAATGTGATATATCAAGTTTACTGGTTTCCATTTTTTTTTTTTTTTGAGAAAGAGTTTCACTCTTGATGTCCAGGCTGGAGTGCGCCACCACTCCCGGCTAATTTTGTATTTTTAGTAGAGATGGGGTTTCTCCATGTTGGTCAGGCTGGTCTCGAACTCCCGACCTCAGGTGATCTGCCCACTTCGGCCTCCCAGAGTGCTGGGATTACAGGCATGAGCCACCGCACCCAGCTGGGTTTCCATATTCTTGAATCATTCTTGCATACCTGGGATGAATCCTACTTGATCATGGTTAATGGTATTTTTAATGTGCTGTTGAATTTGGCTTGCTAATATTTTGTTGAGATTTTTGCATCTATGTGCATCAGGGATATTGGCCTGTAGTTTTCTTCTTTGGTTGTGTCCTTGTCTGATTTTGTATTAGGGTAATACTGTCCTCATAGATTGAGTTTGGAAGTATTCCCTTCTCTTCAATTTTTGGAATAGTTTACAGAGTATTGGTGTTAGTTCTTTAAATGTTTGAGAGAATGTGGCAGTGAAGGCATCAGGTCCTGGGCTTTTCTTTGACGGGAGGCATTTTATTACTTATTCAATTTTCTTACTAGATATTGATCTGTTCAGATTGTTCTTCTTTAAATGTTTGACAGAATTCAGCAGTGAAGGCATCGGGTCCTGGGGTTTTCTTTGATGGGAGACATTTCACTACTGATTCAATTTTGTTACTTGATATTGATCTGTTCAGATTTTCTGTTTCTTAATTATTCAATTTTGGTAGATTGTATGTATCCAGGAATTTATCCATTTCTTCTAGTTTTTCCAATTTATTGGCTTATAGTTGTTCATGGTAGGGCATCTCAATGGTGAGGCAGACTGTGTATTATAGGGATGGGGTAGGGGAAGGGGGAGAAGTTGCAGTATGTGGAAACTCCACACTTTTTGCTTAATTTCACTGTAAACCTAAAACCACTCTAACCTAGTAATTTAAAAAGGCAATGGGCTGAACTGCAAAACTCTAAAGCCTCTGAAGTATATACAGAAAACACTGGCTAACACATCCTATTAACTAAACAGGCCTGACAGCAATGTAAAAATAGGCTTATACCAGTAACAGAAAGCAAATCAGGAGGTAGGAAACACATACCAGTTATTTTATTTTTAATATAACCAAAATATTGTATATGTATGCAAATCAAAACCACAAAAAATATTTAACATGCTAATAAACTATAAACAAAATTCAGAAATAACCTAAGAAATTTAGAGAGCAAATCAGGTTAAAGTCAATTCATAATATCAAAGAGGAGCTATTACAGTGCTTTTGCATTTTAGTGTTAATTTCTCTAGGAGTGTTCTTCTGATTTCTATCAATTGGGAAAAATATCAGACAGAAATAGAATTTTTTAATAGCAAAAATAGATATTGTTTACCTCAACTCAGGACATTTTAAAAATAAAGGTGAGTGGGCTTTTTCTTACATCAAAGAGCAAAATTCATTTTCTCTGTAAGATTGTTGACTGTTTATTTTTCATGTAGTCTACTTAACTCAGCCATACCCAACCGTGCTTCTGAGCTTTACTTCTCCAGCTTTTTTCTTTTCTTTTTCCAGAGAAGGGAAAGTACATGCTGACTCTTAGTCACAGTTCAAATTCATATTTCTATTCTTCCTGTATATCCCTTGGAGTACAGAGGAAAGTTTTCTATTTCTTCGGAGAAAAGAAAAATCTGTTTTCTATTTTCTAAACCAGTGTCATCAAACAGCATTTTGAGGCAGCAAGCTGTATGAAAAGTATAAGGGAACACAAAAGGGACAAATAAAAAAGATAAAAGTCAATTAAAGAAATTCTAAATAAAAATGTGGAACATGAAAGTAGTCCATGTAATTTTCAAAAAGCATTTCATTCAAGGCTTAGAAAAAAAAAAAAGAAAGAAAGAAAAGCTCTTGACTGGCCACTCTAGACAGAAATGTGCTTCGGCCCACTGAGAGATAAAGGAAGCAATTGTCATGGCTTTGGGAATTTAGGAAACTTTTCAGATTTCTGAACCAATTCAAGTCAGTTCTTTGAAATTAAAAAAGGAGACATTGAGGCCACAGGGGAGACTTGATGAAGGAGATTCATAAAAATCAAATTTATTCACTTAAGAAGTAACTTATTGAGCATATTTTATACACTGGGCTGTTAGGATCATCAGTGAACAAAAGAGACCACCCTCTTCCTCCTAAATCTCTGCCATGGTGGAAGTTATGTTCTATTTCATGGAACACAGAAGATGAACACTAAACATAAAAGTAATTATATGTCAGAATTTGAAAATGTTTTAGGAAAAAATGGAGCAGGATAATAGTGATTGAGATACAGGTAATGGGGTGAGAGAAGGAAGGTGTGTCAGGATCTTCTTGCATTTCTATAAAGGCATACTTGAGACTGGGTAATTTAAAATAGTTTGATTGGCTCCTGGTTCTGTAGGCCATGCAAGCATGGTGCTGGCATTGCTCAGCTTCTGGGGAGGCCTCAGGGAGCTTTTACTAGTGGCAGAAGGTGACGTGGAAGCAGGCACATCACATTATGAGAATGGGAACAAGAGAGACAGAAGGGGGAGATGCCACTCACTTTCAAACAACTAGATCTCCAGAGAACTCTCTCATCACCAAGGGGATGGCACTAAGCCTTTTATGAGGGTTTTGCCCCCATAATCCAAACACCTCCCACTAGGCCCCACCTTCAACACTGGTGATTATATTTTGACATGAGATTTGGAGGGGACATCAAAAGCATATCAGACAGGTTGCAATTTAAATAGGTATGCCTAGGACATGCCTCTTTATGAAGGGGACATTTGAACACAGATCTGAAGCAAAGAAGAAGGGGGTCTTTATAAGCAGCCCGTGCAAGGTTAGAGCATCCCTGATGCATGCCAGGAGGGTCACAGTTCAGAATGTTTACAGCTACTGGGAAAAGGAGGCTTACACTTTGAAAATAAGAGATCAGTAAAAGACTAAATGCAAAAACAAAATGACAAATTCTCAAAAAGAAATGAAAGAAAGTGTAAATCTCAGAGGATTTCTGAAAGAACTGAGGAAGAGATGAGAGTTTAAATGGTCCTTGAAATGTTTTTCAGGTTTTCTTCCCACGGGAATAAATTCAATGATCATAAATGCATATAAAATTACAAAGCAGTTACAAAGATGAACAATAACATCACATCAAATGCTTAAAAAAAAGGTGCTTCTCAAGTGTGGGATACATTTTCAAATAATTCAGCCTGCTTACATGCAACATTTTCTAGCATTTGCCCCACTCATCTATTTTACAAGGAACAAGCTGCCTCTATTTCTTCTCTACATGCCTCAACTAACTAAATGTTAGCTTAATAATCCCCATAGGTCAACAAAGACTGTTCTTATCTTTCTTGCAAGTCCTATGGATACATTTCAATTGTTTTATTTTGTTTGCTTTTTGCATTTGATGCCATCAAACACAACCGCCTTTCAATTTTCCCCTCCTTTGGTTTGTCTCTTGCTTCTTTCCTATCATTTTGCTCTTTTTTCCTCCGTCAGCTCCATAAATACTAGGCTGTGTTCTCAACTCTCAGTTTTCTTCAGTACTCATTGCCTTCAACATCTCTTTTCTCATTCGTTCTTAACGCCACTCAAATCAGGTTCTCACCCCACCTTTCCACCTAAGTTACTAGGTAGTCAATAGTTCCAGTTTTCCCCAACAATCTGTTACTCCAGATATCACACTTAATAATGCTAATGCACCCTTTCATTTTTACCTGTGTTATCTCTATTTGGATGATAAAATATATGGTCTACCTATCTATGAATCCGGCTGCAAAACCCAGTGGTCAATTCTCAGCACCTCAGTTCTCCTTCTAGGTTCCAAGGCTCCCTAAGTAGCCAGCAAACTCACTGAACCCCTCGGGATATTTTAAAATTTCAAGGAAAACATATCTCTCAAATTCTGCCCAAGCTACTAGCTCAAGTTAGCTCACAATTACAATGTTAGATTGCACTGCATTCCTTTCAATGATATCGTATTTTTGCAGATCTGAGTTTCTGGTGTTTGTAATAAAAAGTTAAGGACTGTACAAAAACCAGTGTGGAATAGGAAATGAATTTGGCAGTTCTCAAACAGGTTCCAAGGTTTAGTGTTATTCCTAACAATATCCAACGGGTACACGCATCTCATTAGAAAGTAATTATGGTTATTTTAGAATAAAATTAAATATTAATTTTTTTTCTTTAAATTTGTATGTTTTAGGTTTCCAAATGGCTACTAAGTTGATAGGACAAAAATACTTATGAAATGTTTGGGGTAAGGCCACTTAATAAACAAAATTGTTATGTATTTCTTTTGGCCTAGGAGACCCATACAAAACTACCGAGACAGCCAGGGTGACATAAACTAAGAAAGGCTGGGAACCTCTGTTTTACTACTTTTTTTTTTTTTTTTTTTTGAGATGGAGTCTCATTCTGTCACCCGGGCTGGAGTGCAGTGGCGCATCTGTGTTCACTGCAAGCTCCGCTTCCTGGGTTCACGCCTTTCTCCTGCCTCAGCCTTCCAAGTAGCTGGGACTATAGGCGCCAGCCACCATGCCGGGCTAATTTGTTGTATTTTTTTAGTAGAGACTGGGTTTCACCATGTTAGCCAGGATGGTCTCGATCTCCTGACCTTGTGATCCGCCCGCCTCAGCCTCCCAAAGTGCTGAGATTACAAGCGTGAGCCACCACACCCGGCCTAGTCGTTATTGTATAAGTGACTGTCAGGCGCATTTGACATAGTTGATCCCTCATCCCTTTTCTGCTTCCTCCACGCAGCTTCCAGGAACCACACGTTCTTGGTTTTCTTTCTATCTCACTGGTCATACTTTCTCAATCTTTTTTTCTGTTTTCCACTTCTCTTTTCAATCTCTTAATATTAGAGTGCCCAGGACTCATGCCTGAGCTCTCTTCTTTTCTCAGTCTGTAATATCTTCTTAAGGGGTTTCATTCAGTCTCATGGCTTTAAATAACATCTATGTATTGGTAATTTTCAAATTTGTAAATTGAGAACAGACTTCTTCCCTGAATTCAAACTCAAACAATCCAACTACCTTCACCACATTTGCACTTCAATATGCACTAGACAAGCAAATTTAACATATCAAAAAAGTTTCCCTTACCTCCCTCTCTCTGCACTGCACTCCCTGCCCCCCAGAGCCCCCCCACCCCCACCCACCACCCTCCACTGAAACCAAAAAGAAAAAAAGAGAAATCTGCTCCATTTCAAGCTAACTCCATACTTCTCGATGCTAAGGCTGGAAAGCTTGGTCTCATGCTTGACTCTTTCTCTTAAACTCTACCAATCCAGAAACAAATCCTTCTAGCTCTACCTTCAAAATATATGCAGAATTCTATCACTTCTCTCCCTCACTGCAGTCAGCAAGTGGATCCAAGTTACCACCATCTATCTTTCTTCTGGAACTATAGAATAGCCTTCTAGCCAGTCTTTCTGCTTCAGCACTTGCCCTATTGCAGTTTATGTTCTCATAAAGCAGCCAGAGTGATGTGTTTAAACATAAGGCAGAGCCTATCATCACTCTCTACTTAAAATCCCCAATTACATCACATTTGACTCAAAGTCAAAGTCCTTAGCCTATATGGAGCCCTGATCTGAACACCTACCCTACTGTGAATTCTCCGATTTCATCTACCATCACTCTTCTCACTCACTCCGCTCAAGCCACACTGACCACCTGGTCAACACATCCCAGCCATAAACCCTTGCAGCGCCTGTTACCTCTGTTTGGAATGCTCTTCACCGAGATAAATCCTTGCGGTCTCCCACCCTCCTTCAAATCATTTTTATCTGACTATCTTGTAAACAGTGCAATCTTCACCTTGCCCCAGTCCAGCACTCCCAATTCCTCTTACCTTAGCTAACTTTATCTTATTCTACATCATTTATTCTATTCTAACATTCTGTATAATATGCTTTCATATCACAGTTATCATATACTGTCTTTCTCCAAGTTCTAGAAGCTCAGGGATTAGTGTTTTATTCACTCTCTAAGTGCATAGAATTTCTGGAATATGGTAAATATTTGTTAGTTATTTGCTAAATAGATGAAGGAATCAGCCTGTTCACTGGCAGCCATCATAACCATTTTAAAGGCTTCCACTACTATGCATATTTCCCAGTAACTTCCAAAATTATATCTTCAACCCAGAACTCTCCTGACTCAAAGAGATATATTCATCCACTTACCTGACATCTTTCCTTAGTTGTTCCAAAAGAACTTCTGATTGATTCAAATGTTTCAGAAAGACATCTTCCCCTTAAACTTGCCACATGCCCTGTGTATTAGTCAGGTCCAGCTATCACAACAAGATACCACAGACTGGGTGGCTTTATTATAAACATCTATTTATCACAATTCGGAAAACTTGAGGTCCAAGATCAAGCTGTCAGCATCTAGCCTGTCCTGTGAGGAGAGAGAAAGAGAGGGGATATTGGGGGGAGAACGAGGAAGAGAAAGAGGGAAAGAGAAAAATGTGGTGTCTCTTCCTCTTATATGTCCTCTCAGATTAGGAGCCCACACTTACGATCTCGTTTAACCTTACTTACCTCCTTAAAGGCCCCATCTCCAAACCCAGGGATGTTGAGGGTTAGGGCTCCAACACATGAATGGGGATGGTCAAAATTCAGTCTACAAGATCCTGCATTTCTTATTGTTATGAGTGAAAACACTGAGAATGCAATTAACCAAGCCAGAAACCTGACATTTATCCTCGATACCTTTTCCTTCCCCGTTGATTATATCTAATGAGGTACCAAATCCACTCAATTCTATCTCCTAAATATTTCATATCTTCCTCCGTTTCTGTGTTTCTCTACAGCCTTCCCCTAGTCAGTCCCTCATTTTGTACACGGACTATGCTAGTAGGCTCCTAAGCTACCCTCCGGCCATCATCCTCGGCAACTTCTTGCATCCTGCACACCACTGACAGATGATCTTCCTAAAACACAAATCTGATCCTATGACTCCCTGATTTAAAATCACACAATAACATATCATTTCCTAAGGATAAACTTATATTCCAGTAGTATTGCCTACAGTCTTTTCTTGTCATCTCCACCTTCACCCTTCCCACCCAGCATCCTATCCACTTCTCACTTTGTTCTCCAAGCACACCAAATCGTTTGCAATTTCCCAAGCACTCACTGCTTTCCCTGTCTTTATCCAGAGCTGTTCATACTACCTTACCAGTATTGGATGCCGTTGTCTCTCTACCAAGTCCCATTAGTCCTTGCATTATTGGCCCATCCTGTATGAAGTGTTCCTGTTTTCACAAGGAGGTCAAATGTTTGTTCTTTGTACAAGGCTTGCTTTATTAGGGAAATGAAGTATTGTATTGTAATTGCCTGTCTGCATATCTACCTCTCACTGACTCCATCCATACATACCTTGATCAACACATATTACAGATCTTTGTATTGCCAGTGCCTAGCACAGAGTGGCAGTTTACTCAATGACTGCGTGAAATGAACTAAGTCAGTGGAGTTTACTCTGGAAACTTTCTCTTCTGATAATTATTCTTCCAAAAAATCTATAATTCCTTTATTTTCCTGCCTTATTAAGAATAAAAGTAAGTGAAATTATAGTTTCCAATGTTTTTCAGTTTTTTTGCTGTTTTTTATTTCTTCTTTATATATTAATTTCACAGGGCTGTTAAAGAACCAATTAAAATCCAAATTCTTATCTTTTTCCAAGATTCAGCTCAGTGAGTTTTCAGATAATCACATCTACCAATGAAAAGACAAGTTCTCAGTGATAATATGAAAAATTGACACTGTCAGGTAAAAAAAAATTGAATGCATTTCTAAGGACATGTTGGCTTAATATTTTAAATTAATTTTGGAACATGCTAAGCATATAATATTAAACATGCATCACTGATTTTGAACTTAATACAATGCATTAAAGGGCTTTTTAAAATGTGACTTTCAGAGTGTTGTGTATTCAGTAAAAAATTGTGTGCATCATTGAACATTTACGCAATGAAAATCTTAAAGATGTAAGGAAGATAAAACTGTGAAAAAATCATGAAGATTAAAGAAACATTTCAGGAAAGACCAAATAGACTACTAGACTAGAAACTACTACTAGACTAAACACTAAAACAATTGAGAGTACAGAGAGATAGAAAGAGAAAACTGATTAGAAATGAGAAGACCAAAGCTCTGTACATAGTACAAATAGAATAAAAGTACCAGGTCAAAATAAATGAATACACACACCCTGAATAATACACAGGGCATGTGGTTTAATCTCCAAGTAAACATATCACATAGCAAATGTGTTAGAACTGTGAGTACTGCAATAAGCTGTCATACAGTCCCATCATCGTAACCACACCATCTCAAATGTTTTATTCACATTAGAAGGAAATAATTCCATATATTAATTTTTTCAACATTTGAAGTCACAAGGACAGATTTGACCAATACTTTTGCATTAGTCAGTTGTGGGTTGTTATAAAAAACAAAAACCAAAAACAAACAAGTAACAAATCTCAGTGGCTTAAGAAATAAAAGGTTATTTCCTTCTTATACAATGCAGTCCAATGTAAGGCACATATACACTGGAGTGTTAGACACAGTATAGGCAATGAATATGTAATAAAAGATTGAATGAATAAATAGAAGGAAAAGAAAGGAAGGAAGGAAAGGAAGTCCTACCTAAATTTGCTCAAACTGTATAAACCATCCCAGCCCCAATTTTCATATCTATAACATAGGATAATAGTGCTATGGGTTTTTTGTTGTTGTTGTTGTGGAGTTTTGTTTGTTTGTTTGTTTTTAGATGGATTCATGCTCTGTCACTAGGCTGGAATGCAGTGGCATGAGCTCAGCTCACTGCAACCTTTGCCTCCCAGGTTCAAGCAATTCTCCTGCCTCAGCCTCCCAAGTAGCTGGGACTACAGGCATGTACCACCATGTCCAGTTAATTTTTGTATTTTTAGTAGAGACAAGGTTTCACCATGTTGGCCAGGATGGTCTCCATCACTTCACCTCGTGATCCTCCCGCCTCACCCTCCCAAAGTGCTGGGATTATAGGTGTGAGCCACTGCGCCTGGCCAATAGTGCTATGATTAAGGGTAATCATCATGATCATCATTAAGTGTATAACATAATAAGCCTCAAAATGGGCTTGAGGATTGGTTATCAGAAAAATGGCTGATAGGAGGAAGCACTAACTTGCAGCTGCCACGTGGAGGGACAGAGCAGCAAGTGGAGACCCACATCATGAACTTTTGCTCCAAGAACTACCGCAGGAACATACCAGGAAAGCTGAGAGAATTCACAGAACTTTTGAAGGAGGTGGATTGCCACTGCAGGCTCTGTGGGACAACTGAGGAGCTGTGCTTTCTCAGCTGGGAGACTTGTGGTCTGGGGCAAGTTCTCAGCCCTGCTCACCAGTTGCCTGGAAATATACTTGGTGCTGTTGCAGGAGCACAGTAGGAGTGAGACCAGCCTTTCAGGATGCAGGCTGTGTGGGAGCTGGGTGAGGCCTGTGGCTGCTGGCTTTCCTTCACTTCCCTGGTGATCTGTGTGATGCAACAGAGACAGCCATAATCCCCTTGGGAGCATAACTACATTGGCCTGGGACTCACACCCCCACTCCCCACAGCAGCTGTAGCAAGCCCCACCCAAGGAGAGTCTGAGTTCAGACACGCCTAACCCTGCCCCCAGCTGATGGTCTTTCTCTACCCACCCTGGAAGCCAAAGACAAAGGTCATAATCTCTAGGGAGCTCTATGGCCTTGCCCCCCACCTGAGAAACTGGAATATTTATCCAAAGATGACTCTAGAGCAAGCTTGTATCCTTCTTATACAACTGCAGCTGATGCAGTCTTGAAGCACCACCTCCTGGCTGGAGGCCAGCCAACACAAAACCAGCACACTTAACAAAAATACAACTAAGGACTCTCACAGAGTCCACCTTACTCCCCTTCTACTTCCACCAGAGTAGTTGTTGGGATCCATGGCTGACAGACCTGATAACAGGTCACATCACAGGGCTCTTTGCAGACACTCCCCAATACCAGCCTGGAGCCTGATACCTCCGCTGGGTAGCTAGATCCAGAGGAGAAATAACAGTAACTGCAGTTCAGCTCTCAAGAAGCCCCATGCCTAGGGGAAAGAGGAGTGCACCACATCAAGGGAACACCCCCGTGGGACAAAAGAATCTGAGCAGCAGCCCTTGAGTCCCAGATCTTCCCTCTGAAATAGTCTACACAAATGAGAAAGAACTAGAAAAATAATTCTGGTAATGTGACAAACAAGGTTCTTTAACACCCCCAGAAAATCATACTAGCTCACCAGCAATGGATCCAAACCAAGTAGAAATCTCTGAATTGCCAGAAAAAAAACACTCAAAAGGTTGATTATTAAGGCAATCAAGGAGGCATCAGAGAAAGGTAGAGTATAACTTAAAAAAATATATATATATATAAGATATGAATGGAAAAATCTCTAGTAAAATAGATAGCATAAGTAAAAAAAAAATCACAACTTCTGGAAATCAAAGACACACTTTGAGAAATGCAAAATGCACTGGAAAGTCAGCAACAGAATCAAACAAGTAGAAGAAAGAACTTCAGAGTTCAAAGATAAGGCTTTTGAATTAACCCAATCCAACAAAAACAAACAAAAAATAATTTTAAAAAAATGAACAAAGCCTCCAAGAAGTGTGGGATTATGTTAAACGAGCAAACCTAAGAATAATTGGTGTTCCTGAGGAGAACGAGAAATCTGAAAGTTTGGAAAACACATTTGAGGGAATAATTGAGGAAAACTTTCCCAGTCTTGCTAGAGATCTAGACATTCAAACACAAGAAGCTCAAAGAACACCTTGGAAATGTATTGCAAAAAGATCATCGCCTAGGCACGTTGTCATCAGGTTATCTAAAGTCAAAACGAAGGAAAGAATCTTAAGAACTGTGAGGCAAAGGCATCAGTAACCTATAAAGAAAAATTTGTCAGATTAACAGCAGATTTTTCAGCAGAAACCCTACAAGCTAGAAGGGACTGGGGTCCTATCTTTTAGCCTCCTTAAACAAAACAATTATAAGACAAGAATTTTGTATCCAGTGAAACTAAGCTTCATAAATGAAGGAAAGATACAGTCTTTTGTAGACAAACAAATGCTGAGAAAATTCACCACTACCAAGCCAGCACTACAAGAACTGCTAAAAGGAGTTCTAAATCTTGAAACAAATCCTAGAAATACATCAAAATAGAATTTCCTTAAAGTATACATCTCAAGGGACCTATAAAACAATCACACAATAAAAAAAATCCAAAGTATTCAGGCAACAATCACAGTGAATAGAATAGTACCTCACATCTCAATACAGATATTGAATGTAAATGGCCTAAATACTCCACTTAAAAGATACAAAGGCTGGGTGCGGTGGCTCACCCCTGTTATCTCAACACTTTTGGAGGCTGAGTCAAGTAGGTCATGAGGTCAGGAGATTGAGACCATCCTGGCTAACACAGTGAAACCCCATCTCTTCTAGAAATACAAAATTAGCCAGGCATGGTGGCACGCACCTGTAGTCCCAGCTACTCGGGAGGGTGAGGTAGGAGAATCGCTTAAACCTGGGAGGCAGAGATTGCAGTAAGCCAAGATTGTGCCCCTGCACTCCAGCCTGGGCAACAGAGCAAGACTCCATCTCAAAAAAAAAAAAAAAAAAGATACAGAATGGCAGAATGGATTAGAAGTCACCAACCAAGTATCTGCTGTCTTTGGGAGACTTACCTGACACATAAGGACTCACATAAACTTAAGGTAAAGGGTGAAAAAAGATATTCCATGCCAATGGACACCAAAAGCAAGCAGGAGTAACCATTCTTAGATCAGACAAAACAAACTTTAAAGCAACAGCAGTTAAAAAAGACAAAGAGGGACATTATGTGATGACAAAAGGACTCGTCTAACAGCAAAATATCACAGTCCTAAATATATATGCACCTAATACTGGAGCTCCCAAATTTATAAAACAATTACTACTAGACCTAAGGAATGAGATAGATGGCAACACAATAATAGTGGGAGATTTCAATACTCCACTGACAGCACTAGGCAGATCATCAAGACAGAAATTCAACAAAGGAACAATGGACTTAAACTATATCCTAGAACAAATGGACTTAACAGATATTTACAGAACACTCTACCCAACAACTGCAGAATATACATTCTATTCATCAGCACATGAACATTCTCCAAGATAGACCATATAATAGGCCACAAAACAAGTTTCAACAAATTTAAGAAAAATTGAAATTATATCAAGAACTCTCTCAGACCACAGTGGAATAAAATTGGAAATCAACTTCAAAAAGAACCCTCGAAACCATGCAAATACATGGAAACTAAATGTCTGCTCCTGAATGATTGTTAGATTAACAATGAAATCAAGATGAAAACTTAAAAATTATTTGAACTGAGCAATAACAGTGACACAATCTATCAAAACCTCTGGAATACAGCAAAGCAATACTAAAAGGAAAGTTCATAGCATTAAATGCCTACATCAAAAAGTCTGAAAGATCACAAATAAACAATCTGAGGTCACACTTCAAGGAATTAAAGAAGCAAGAACAAATGAAACCCAAACCCAGCAGATGAAAAGAAATAACCAAGATTAGAAGAGAACTACATGAAATTGAAACAAAAAATACCAAAGACAAACAAAATAAAAGTTGGTTCTTTGAAAGGATAAATAAAATTGATAGCTCATTAGTGAGATTAACCAGGAAAAGAAGAGAGAAGATCCAAATAAGCTCAACTAGAAACAAAATGGGAGATATTACAACTGATACCACAGAAATACAAAAGATCATTAAAGGCTACTATGAACACCTTTACATGCATAAACTAGAAAATCTAGAGGAGATGAATAAATTCCTGGAAATATACAACCCTCATAGATTAAACCAGGAAGAAATAGAAACTGTGAACAAACCAATAACAAGAAGCTAGACTGAAATGATAGTTAAAAAGTTACCAACAAAAAAAAGGCCAATACCAGATGGATTCACAATTGAATTCTGTCAGACATGCAAAAAAAGAGTTAGTAACAATCCTATTGACACTATTCCAAAAGATAGAGAAAGAGAGAATCCTCTCCAAATCATTCTATGAAGCCAATATCACCCTCCTACCAAAACCAGGAAAGAATATAACAAAAAAAGAAAACTACAGACCAATATCTCTGATGAACATAGATGCAAAAATATTCAAAAAAATATTAGCTAACAGAATAAAACAGCAGATCAAACAGAAAATCCACCATGATCAAGTGGGTTTCATACTAGGGATGCAGGGATGGTTTAACATCAGCAAGTCAATAAATGTGATACACCACATAAACAGAATTAAAAACAAAAATCACATGATTATCTCAATAGATGCAGAAAAAGCATTTGAAAAAATCCAGCATCCCTTAATGATTAAAACTCTCAGCAGAATCGGCATAGAGGGAACATACCTTAAGGTAATAAAAGCCATCTATGACAAACCCACAGCCAACATTATACTGAACAGAGAAAAGCTGAAAGCATTCCTTCTGAGAACTGGAACAAAAGAAGAATGCCCACTTTCACCACTTCTATTCAACGTAGTACTGCAAGTCCTAGCCAGAGCAATCAGACAAGAGAAAGAAAGGGCATCCAAATCGGTAATGAGGAAGTCAAACTGTCGCTGGTTGCTAGTGATATGATTGTATACCTAGAAAACCCTAAAGACTCATCCAAAAAGACCCTGGAACTGGTAAATGAATTCAGCAAAGTTTCAGGTTACAAAATTAATATACACAAATCAGTTGCTCTGCTATATACCAACATGTACCAAGCTGAGAATCAAATCAAGAACTCAATCTCTTTTACAATAGCTGCAAGAAATAAAATACTTAGGAATATGCTTAACCAAGGCGGTGAAAGACTTCTACAAGGAAAACTACAAAACACTGCTGAAAGAAATGATACACAACACAAACAAATGGAAACACACCCTATGCTCATGGATGGGCAGAATCAATATTGTGAAAATGACCATACTGCCAAAAGCAATCTACAAATTCAATAAAATTTCCATCAAAATACCACCATCATTCTTCACAGAATTAGAAAAAACAATCCTAAAATTCATGTGGAACAAAAAAAGAGCCTGCATAGTCAAAGCAAGGCTAAGCAAAAAGAACAAATCTGGAGGCATTACAACACCCAACTTCAAACTATACTATAAGGCCATATTCACCAAAATAGCATGGTACTGGCATAAAAATAGGCATATAGACAAATGGAACAGAATAGAGAACCCAGAAATAAAGCCAAATACTTACAATCATCTGATCTTTGACAAAGCAAACAAAACCAAAGTGTGGAAAGGCCACCCTATTTAACAAATGGTATTAGGATAATTGGCAAGTCACAGGTAGAAGAATGAAGCTGGATCCTCATCTCACCCTATGCAAAAATCAACTCAATATGAATCAAAGACTTAAATCTAAGACCTGAAACCATAAAAATTGTGGAAGATAACATTAAAAAAACCCTTCTAGACATGGCTTAGGCAAAGACTTCATGACCAAGAACCCAAAAGCAAATGCAACAAAAACAAACATAAATAGATGGGATTTCATTAAAGTAAAAAGCTTCTGGCTGGGCACAGTGGCTCACACCTGTAATCTCAGCACTTTGAGAGGCTGAGGCAGGTGGATCACGAGGTCTTGAGATCGAGATCATCCTGGCCAACGTGGTGAAATCCGTCCCTATTAAAAATACAAAAATTAACTGGGCGTGGTGGTGCGCACCTGTAGTCCCAGTTACTCAGGAGGCTGAGGCAAGAGAATCGCTTGAACCCAGGAGGTGGAGGTTGCAGTGAGTCAAGATCACATCACTGCATTCCAGCCTAGGAGGCAGAGCAAGACTCTGTCTCCAAAAAAAAAAAAAAAAAAAAAAAAACTTTTGCACAGCAAAAGAAACAATCAGCAGAGTAAGCAGAGAACCCACAGAGTAGGACAAAAATCTTTGCAATCTATAACACCCAAAAAAGGACTAATATGCAGAATCTACCAGGAAGTCAAACAAATCAGCAAGAACAAAACAAACAATCCCATCAAAAAAACTGGGCAAAGGACATGAATAGACAATTCTCAAAAGAAGATATACAAATGGCCAACAAACATATTAAAAAATGCTTAATATCACTAATTATCAGGGAAATGCATATCAAAACTGTAATGTGATACCACTTTACTCCCGCAAGAATGGCCATAATCAAAAAATAAAAAATAATAGATGTTGGTGTGGATGTGGTGAAAAGGGACCACTTTTACACATTTGTGGGAAGGTAAACCAGTACAATCACTATGGAAAACAGTGTGGAGATTCCTTAAAGAACTAAAAGTAGAGCTACCATTTGATCCAGCAATCCCACTACAGGGTACCTACGCAGAGGAAATGAAGTCATTATACAAAAAAGATACTTGCACATGCATGTTTATAGCAGCACAATTCACAGCTGCAAAAATATGGAACCAGTCCAAATGCTCATCAATCAACAAGTGGGTAAAGAAAATGTGGTATATGCATACCATGGAATACTACTTAACCATAAAAAGGAATAAAATGATGGCATCTGCAGCAACTCGTAAGTGGGAGCTAAACTATGCGGACACAAAGGCATAGGAATGATACAACGGACATCGGAGACTTGAGGGAATGGGAGGGAAAGGGGTGAGGGATAAAAGACGACACATTGGGTACAATATACACTGCTCAGGTAATGGGTGCATCAGAATCTCAGAAATCACTACTAAAGAACTTATTTATGTGACCAAATACCACCTGTTCACCAAAAACTATTGAAATTTAAAAAATAATGATAAAATAAAAAAGAATCTGTGCTCTCTTCATAGTATTACTGAAATAATAATTTTTAAAAATGGGCTTGAGTCATAACTCGAATTCTCTTTAGCTAAATACTTTATTTTCCTCCCCTCTTGCTCCTAGTTTTCTAATTTTTTCCCCCACCACTAATGGTATGCATGAAGAGTTTCATTAAATCTGCTCTCCATTGGCTTCCAACCAGGAAAAAACTTGAATCAACCGATACCTCCTTCCTTACCAAGTAAAGGAAAATTCAACCAAACAGAATGGAGATAGCATTTGAACTTGGCCTTGAAATAAAGATGTCAACAGCTAAAAATGGGGGCAGAATAGATTTCCAGATTGAGTCATCCACTGCTGAGAGAAGCTAGTATATTATTGATGTCGCTGATTACAAAAAAAAAAAAAAATCTTGGCAGTAGTGTGTGGCTAGATTGGTACATGTTGGCAAATTAGAATGAGTACTGGATTGAGTAATCTAATGAGATCTGAATTCTGACTCTGCTACTAACTTACTTGTGTAATTGCCAATAAGTTACTTAACTCTTATAGACTTCACATTCCACATTTGTAAACTGAGTAGGTTGAGCTGAGTAAGCCTTTGTCATTCTTTCAGCTACGTAATTTTATGGAAAAGGAAATCCATCACAATCACAGGACAAAACTATTTCTTAGAAAAATTGCAGTATGACTGCATTGAAGAAGGACTCTTTTGGAATGACAAAGCAGGAGCCCTTTGGCCCACTTTATCTTACATCCAAAGACTAAATTCATCTGTCACAAATAAGAAAAGTTCCATTTCAGGTATTCACATAGCCTTCATCTCACAGCTCCTACAGAGACTTCCTTAGCCCTTCTTGGGGCAGCTCACATCCAGGAGAGACTGAAGCAGGGTTATAAAGACCTAGTCAGGTTCATGTAATACAGAACACTGGTGGGCAATCCTTGCACCAGGACTCTTAGGCATATTGGTCAAGGCTTTGCCAGGCCTGGATCACATTTCAATTTCATACACTCGACAGTTTTGCTTTCTCCCACCTCCTTTCCCAGGTGTTGGACCATTGTGAGCATTTTGCACCTCAGATTCCATCTTAGTGTCTAATTCCAGTTAAACCAATCTGCAATAGTGGAATGAGAGACAGGTGTAATTAGACACAAGAGACCTACCCCACGGCACAAGGCAAGGTGATTTGGATATTTGAGCGTCTTAGAAGAAATGCCCTATCTTTATTTCTTGTTTGTTCTGAAAGATGATCTTCCTGTGGTTTCATGAGATACCAGGATTTTGCCATCATGCTCACTGAACACTGCTGATGGCATCTTCCAGGATTAACCATACTCCGAATTTTGAATACCATCCCGATTCAATCAACTTTGACGAATGTATTATTGTTCGTAGTTTTGATTTAAAAGCCTTTACAGCTCATGTTTATTGCTGTAATATCACTGCTTTGTCTTCTGTTTGGGTTTTGGTACCAAATTCACCCTGCAGTCTAAATGTAGACTGGGTAGATCACTCTCCCACTGTTCCATCCGACTGATGAATAGTCACCGCCACTCAAGATATAGCAGAGGACATTACTGCCCTCTGGTGGAAACATTGAAGACTACTCTAAGAGTGTCTCCCAAGGAATGGAATTTTCACAGATGGGTTCATGTTGCAGCTTGAGTTGTAAATAAATACAGCCAGAAAAATTATCCTCATTTCCGGTTCTTGACATTTGATTGGCTCTGTATTTGCCTAATTTCCATCTTCTTCCCTGCTCTGTTATCCCTATCCCAAACAGGTTTAGCCACCTACAAATCTTTAAAACACTGATCCACTAAGACATGGATCTCATCACCCAATGTATTTACAATAAAGCTTCCAACCTCCTTTTCAGACGGAGGAAAAAAGAAAACAAACAAACAAAAAAAAAACACTTGAAACAGTAGAGCATTAAAAATGTGTTGTAAATAGACAACTATTTCCACTTTAGCCGTCCAAACGGATTCGGTTTTCTGGGGCTATGCCAATAGGCAAATAATTGACTTACTGTTGCTTTTTTTAATTCCATTAATATAAGAAACAAATCATTTATTAGCCTTCTTTGTCTGAGTAAGTGGCTGAGTGCATATATTTTCTTCATGTGTGGGTGAAAGAGCATAGAAGATAATGCTAATAATTCAATTTTAAGAACTTCTGTTGATTTCTTCAGTCTATTCTGCCTTCTTCGTGTGACGAGAAGAAGAATACCAAGCAAGCTGTCCCTTGAATTAAAGAGGAGCAGTTTATAAAAATGATACTACAGGCTAAGGAGCGAAACTTAGGTTTTAGCCTGAGCTCTAGTCCTTAACTTCCCTTAGCCTCAACTTCTTCATCTGCCAAATGGGGACAATGATCCTTTAAGGAGCTGTAGTGAGTATGAAATCAGATAACGTACACAGAGCTTAGGCACAGTACCTGGTACATATTAAATGCAGATAAATTACGGTTGACCTCAGTTTCCATGGAGAATTTGTTCCAGGACTTCCTGTGGGTACCAAAATCTCGAGTCCCTGATATAAAATGGCAATAGTATTTTATACTATAGCATATTCATATTAAATACATAGCATTTAAAATATAGTATATTTTAAATCATTTCTAGATTACTTATAATACCTAGTACAATGTAAATGCTATGTAAATAGTCATTATACTGTATTGTTAAGGGAATAATGGCAAGGAAAAAGTACATGTACATGTTCAGTACAGATAGGTTTTTTTCCCCAATAGTTTTGATCTGTGCTTGGTTGAATCCACAGATGTGGAACCCATGGATATGGACAGCTGACTGTACCCAATATTATTTCTATTGTTATTTTTAGTCAAGTGTTAATGAGGAAGAATTTGCTTTAAATGTCTAAAAATTCTAACGCTGTTAGTCTAAGCAATATTTGCCTATTTATTTTCCTCTTACGATCTTCTAGATGAATCATTTTCTATGGAGATCTTTAACTTAATCTGCTCCAATTCTTTTACCTTCAGGAAGTGGCTGGTGTTGCCAAGTCATTGGGGCTCATGTCTATTCTCACTTACAAGCCTCAGCTCAGAAGACTTCCCTTGCCTCCTTTATCTCCTTGCCTTTCTACACCACACTTGCTTCCACCCACACCATACATACCAGTGGTCCATCTTCCTGTAACTGAAAATTGTTTAAGTGTGAGTATTTTGTCCATCTACTCTCAGCACCTAGGACATGACTGATAAATGTAGTTTCCTATTAAGTGAAAATACTTCCCTAAACCTTGTCAGTTAGATGGCAAAAATCCCAGAAAGATTCAGATATGGAGTTGAAGAGAATTGGGTTTCTTCTAAGTCACTGAGCCTCCTCAGTTCACAAAAGGAGGACTTATGAATTGGGTGATCTCATCCACAAAATCGGAATGATGGTTTAGTCAACATAAACAGATGTTAATTCATACAAAACCCAAAGAGCACTACCTTGGAACAGCAATTCCATCCACTGAGATTCTGAGACTTTGCCTTACCAGATTATTATATTTTGATTTAGTTGAGAAAAAAAGCATAGGTACATCATATCAATTCTATCACAAGGTTACTATTGTTATGGTTAGCTACAATAATCACACATCATAGCATATTTTTTTACAATGTATCATCAGTTTTAGGATGAGTGCAATACTTTAAATAATTATTAAAATGAAATAAAAATAAATAAAGTATCCTATTATAGTAACAATAAGAATAAAATTCTCACAGGTTTCTGATTACTTGGGAATATAATATTTCTGCATTGAAATTCCATAGACTTCTAGATCTGACATTATTATTGATGACATAAATTTAGCTTTTTAGTAACAAGGAAAATGAATATTATTGGTGACTGTATTAGTCCCTTCTCTCATTGCTATAAAGAACTACCTGAGACTAGGTGATTTATAAAGAAAAGAGGTTTAATTGACTCGCAGTTCCACAGGCTGTACAGGAAGCATACACAGCTGGGGAGGCCTCAGGAAACTTACAATCATGGCAGAAGACAAAGAGGAAGCAGCATGTCTTATATGACCAGAAAAGGAGAAAGAGAGAGTGAAGGGGGAGGTGCTACACACTTTCAAACAACCAGATCTTGTGAGAACTCACTCACTATCAAGAAAACAGCAAGGGGGAAATCTGCCCCATGATCCAATCACCTCCCACCAGGCCCCTCTTCCAACTGGGAGTTACAATTCCACATGAGATTTGGGCAGGGAAACAAATCCAAACCGTATCAGTGACACATACTGAAATATTTTAAAAGAGGAGTTTAGATGAAAATTCATAGAGCTTTAGAAATACAATGAAGGGGAAAATTTTAACAGGGAAAAAATACATCACAAGCAAAATTGTTCATGTTCTTTCTTCTTTTATGAAAAATAGATTTCTTTTTATTTTATTTTATTTTATTTTATTTATTTATTTTTGAGATGGAGTCTTGCTCTGTCGCCCAGGCTGGAGTGCAGTGGCGGCATCTTGGCTCACTGCAAGCTCCGCCCCCTGGGTTCAGGCCATTCTCCTGCCTCGGCTTCCTGAGCAGCTGGGGGCTACAGGCTGTCCCTATTTCTTAGCCTAATTTATACATTAAATAAAATATTTTCCCTGAACTGGTATTATTACATTTTTTTCTTGTTTATTTATTTTTAAGAAAATAAATACCCAACTTATTTGCAAAACACACTTGACTTGAAAAGGCATGAGAACAAAGCTGCCATTTTTTGTAGTATTTTGTGTGTATCAAGTATTATGCCAAGAATTTTATAATTGTTATTTGACTCAATACACATGACAGGATTACTACTGTTATATTCATTTCATTATATTGGGGAAGACAATAATGTTCAAAGTCACATCATAAGTTTTGTAGTTGGACCCAAGTATATTTGATTTTAAATCTCATTTTTTTAAATAATTAATGTAGAGCCTCCCAGAGCTCAAGTGGTGTGACAATCTACAGATTTTACCAATGATCCAGCATTAGAGTCCATCCATTTCCTCTCCAGTTTCCCTGAGTTACTCATTTCCAAACAACTGAAGTGTGCTTGCTTTTTCTCATCATTTTGAATTACAGGCTTCAGAAAGAAAAATTCACAAGGTCCTAGGTAGAAAACAAAAAAATCCTCCAAATCTCAGTCCAGAATTATTTCCTAAAGAAGTTTTCATTTAAGATCACTTTTTAGAAAAACAATGTTCAAGATGCAGACAAAAATAGAAATTAAAATATAAACTTCCAACACCCCCCACTTCTTACCTAAAGTTGCCACGTTTTACAAACAAAAAGTATAGAATGCCTAGTTAAATTTGAATTTCACGTAAATAAGGTATAAAATTTTTTGGTGTAAATATGTCCCACACATACATATATACTCATACTAAAAAATCATGTGTTGTTTATCCAAAATTCAAACTAACTATATATTTTATCTGGGAACCTTACTTCTACTCTACCCATTGCCTGTCTCCAGCTTCACACCCAATTGCTCAGTAGAACTGTTCACATGTAATTAGGGTCTCATTCAGTAATGTCTTACCTAATGATTCTTTGTCCTTTCCTCATCAGTAGCAAAGGGGACAATCTGAAGAATATTTACAAATACAATTACAGTCTATCAGTTGCCTTACACAGCAGAACTAATCCATAGAGAGAGGTGGGAAGTCCTGTACTTTATTAATAAACTCAAGTAAGGAGAAAAACCATTTCTGTGGTATTTTAAGTTGAATTTACATATTCTGTCACATTTCACTACAAGTGTAATCAAATAAAGCTATTACTCATCAGAAAATAAAGAAATAAAGATTTGGTAGGTAGCCTAAGCTACTCTTACTTTAAAAAGTAATCTTTTAAACAAAAATATCAATAAGAGTTTCCAAAACATTTAGTTGCAATGTTGTCCTATACTAAAAGATGTCATTTTATCCCGCCATAGTGAAATGGGCATACTGTATTTTACCTGGCCTTGTTGAAAAACAACACGAAAACACTCATCAATTCTCGATTTTTAAAAATGACCAAAATTGACATGATCTGTTTATTGAAGGAAAGGCAATTTTGCTTTTGGAAGGCAACATTAATATAAATTTATACTTATGTCTTAGCAGTAAACAATTCCCAAAGGAATCAGATTTCCTAAGTAAATGTCAAGTGTGCTCTCTAAAGCACTATTAATCAAATTATTTAATTAAATATATGCTGTGCTTTGACATATTGAATTTTGGACCATTTTACCAACCAAAGCTGTACTCCTGTAGAATATAAATCAGTTAATCAGTGTGAATGCAAAGTAACAAGGCCATTTTGATATGGTTTAATGTAAAGTGCTCTCTTTGCTTTAAAGGAGCACCAGTAACATACCAGTTTTAATACTTTTTTTTATGTGTCCTTGCCACCCAGTTGACCAGGAATATGGGAGGATTTTAGGGAAGCTCCTACTAGCAAGTAGGCTAGGATGTTAACCAAGGTAAGTGTCATGAGCTCTATAACTTAAAACACTTCAGCACAGACAATGTGATAATCTTCATGTATTAGTTTAAGTGACACTATAGGAGTAGTTTGTTGCCGTAATCTGGAAGTCACACTCCAGGCCTGATCAGCTAGCATTTAATCAGAAACATTCACACTCCAGAGGTTGCTACTGCAAGCCTTTCTGCTGTCATTATTTCCAATCAATACCAAAGACTTAAATTAGCATAATGAATGCTAGGAAAAATGTTGGTGAAAATTTGTGGACTGTTAATTAGACAACAGATGTTCAAAATAGAATTCTCAATGATGAAAATCAAAATATATGAATTGACTAAAATATATTACATCTACTTCAATCCTCAAATGAATATGAGATTCTAGTAAGCCCTTTGCTTTTTGGAAAGTCTCCCAAAGATTTATTCTGTAACAAAGCTACGTCCAGCCACTTAGTTAAAGGATTTAGGATGCCTGATACTGATTATGAATCTAACTTTTTTCTGCCTTTAGAATATTGTCACATTTGCCTTGAGTAAATATTTCATGCTAGGTCTTGTTAGAACACAGAATAGAACAGAGAGCCAGGAATTCACTAAGCATACAGAATGGACTGTATGAATTGTTTTACATCTGCTTCTTAATGTTTGTTTAATGGATCTCGTATGCATGGTCAACATTTGGTCTCAGGTTTGCTTTCTTTAACTTGATAGGGAGGTTGGAAGGTGATCACCTCTCAATACTGGTATTTATCAAAGAGCTGTACTTGACAAAATTGCTTAGGTCCAGCCGTAGCAACAGATGTGCACTGGCATAGACCTGTGCACTAGATTTTCTGGGATACAAAAATATTCTAAGCTAATCTACCAGCACTTCCTTTCCAAGAAAGTCTGGTGATCTGTCCTTGGACTATAACCAACATATCCCCTATTCTTTGCTGGGCTTTCTTAATGGCGTTAAAACAAACAAACAAGAAAACAAAACAAAATAATAACAACAAACAGGCCAGGCACAGTGGCTCATGTCTGTAAACCCAGCACTTTGGGAGGCCTAGGCAGGATGATCGCTTGGGCCCAGGAATTTGAGACTAGCCTGGGTAACATAGTGAGACTCTGACTCCAAAAAATCAAAATATTAGCCACTCCTGCTCCCTTCAACCCTGTTCTTAAGTGGATAATGTCTGGTAAAGCGAAAAACCAAAGCAGCTTTGGAAAAGCATGGAGCTCTTCACAGCTATACCACGGTCCAACCTGGGAAGCCAGGAGGGAAGGAGCGCTCTCTGCCTTCCTAACACGGGGCAAGAGGTGGAGCTGAACTCCTCAGTCCCATCCTTCTTTTGATTTTTCTCAGTGGGAGTTGGGGTGGGTGAAGAGAAGGCGAGTGTATCATAGTATAACCATTGTATTCCTGTCGCTTTTCTCCCAGGACCCAGAGATGATCATTCATGTACTGATGACTGTGGCATTTAATTCTCCTGCCCCTGACTAGCTGGCGTACAAATCAGCATACCCAGTTATCTACCAGACATGTCATTCCCAACTCAGAGTCTGTCAATAATTTTTCATGGATCAGCATAGCCTTAAGAACAAAATCATAATTCCTTAGCTGGGCCCTCAAGGCCCTTCACATCTGACCCCTGACTACCACTCTAGCCCTGGCCTTTACTCATTCCCTCCTGCCTCCTCCCCAACATAATATATCCCCCTTGGTCCAGCCATGATGAACTACCTACAGGTACCTAAATATCACATCGATGCACAACTCTTTGCCGTCATGAATAGATTTGCCTCTGCTTGAAATGCCTTCTCCTTTTTACAGCCCTTTGTTCTATATCATATCCATGTGACTCCATGTAACAGAATTCTGATTCTTAGATCTTGGACATTTATACTAACTATGAATCCAGATTTGTGGATGATATGTAATAGCTATATGATAACTCTAATTTTTAACCCTTATTTTGTCATGTGATAAAAATGAGGGAAAGACAAAGTAGGGATATGAATGAACTATCAAATACAATTTGGTGTTTTCCTACTATCTTACCCATTAACATGAGAGAGGCAAGTGCCTTTTATCATCCCAGACACCCCTTTAATATAGCACTATTACCAGCCTAATTCCACAGATTATAAAGTAAAATCTCAAACCTACCCACTTAATCACAGAATGTGATTAAGAGACCATCTGGAGTGACCTTAGAGACCATCTAATCTAAGTCCTTAAATCCAATTAACTTTCCTTCCTTAATACTCTTTTAAAGGAAGAAAATTATAAACCTAGAAATAAATATTATGTTACTTGAAAGTTGAGCAATTACTAATAAAACTTTAAAACTCCTAAAAGTCATATTTTCTTGGGCAAAGGAAAACAATTCTCCATTTTCTGAATGATCCTATTTAATAACAAAAATTTTAACCTTAGAACAGGGGTCCCCAACGCCTGGGCCATGGACTGCTACCAGTCTGTGGCCTGTTAGGAACTGGGCTGCACAGCAGGAGGTGAGCATTGGGCGAGTGAGCATTATTGCCTGAGCTTCACCTCCTGTCAAATCAATGGTAGCATTAGATTCTCATAGGAACGTGAATCCTATTGTGCACTGTGCATGTGAGGGATCTAGGTTGCATTGCACACTCCTTATGAGAATCTAACTAATACCTGATGATCTGAGGTGGAATAGTTTCATCCTGAAACCATCCATCCACTCCCACCTCCGGGTCTAGGAAAAAAATTGCCTTCCACGAAACCAGTCCTTGGTGCCAAAAAGGCTGAGGACTACTACCCTAGATGATAAGATACCTGGAGTTCGCTGCTTTCTCATCTTGTAACCATTTAAACTGGCCTTAGATAGAAAAGCCAAGATCAAAATCAAGTTAGAGAAATTTCCTCTTGCCACCTAGGAGGGTCATGTCATAAAGCAGCACCCCTTCTAAAAAAAATTGCATTAGAAATAAACCTGGGCACTTATACACACAGACACACAGAACACCTCGTAACTCCTCGAATGTTGCTGAGTTCTTGGAAACATTCCAAGTTCCTAGATCTCCTTTCTACCCCAGCATCAAGAATATGTATTTAGACTGTGCTCCTGCTCTGATAGGTCTGCCTGTCAGGTCCAAGCAGCAGTTTATTTTCAAATTGTTGGGTGAGGATAGGGTGATGGAGGAGGAAGGGAAAGAAAGAAAATAATTGGACCAAGCCCTCAGACAAGAAAGGAATTTACCTCAAGGCTTTTCAGGTTACAGTCAAGGGAGCTGAAAATTACATTTCAAACTTTCTTAGCCACTGTCAATTTCTCCTTTTCGAAATGAAGTTTCCCCATTTTTTTTACTTTGAATTATGCAATGTGTCTGATAAACACTTTTCATGGAAGGTGTAAAAGAATAGTGTGGGAGAGGACGTGGGTGTCTGTGCACCCATAGAGGCCAGGACATACATAACACACTACTTCTGAGTGTAAATCATAAATTATCCTGTATTCAGAGATTTCCAGAGCCAGGCCTCTGAGAAAGGAGATAGTGACCTAAATAAAGTACTTCCTTGTGCCTGATCTCATTTAGCTTTATCCATGAGGGGATTACAGGAACTGTCTGCTCATGGTTGTCAGCAAAGTACAGTGAATGGCTCGGGCGATGGGCTTCCTAACCATTCCACTTAACCCCATCTCTTTGCCTCCCCCAACACAAACACAAACACAATTACAGCCGTAACAGGCATATGGATGGAAGCAGTAGATTCCATTAGGGCTCTGGAACTGGCTGTCAAAAGCATTTTGTATATTAATATTAGAGACTGAAACGACTTCGTTTATCATTTTCCCCCAGGTATCTACCACAATATCTACTACCCAATGAAGATTTGTTGAATGAATGAATAAAAAGAGAATACATTGCTTGCTATATCAGAATTCTAATTCTTTGTATTTTATTCCTTCTTTTTTGATACTGAGGTCATGATTTATTAGTCTGTGAGGAGTTACTGAGACTAAGTTATTGGTATGTTTTAATAAAAATAATATGCATTTATCATTTTAAAAAGTCAAACAAAACAAAAAATAGAAGAAAGTTTAAAATAACTTGAAAGCCCATAAACCAGGACTATTGATGAGCATTTTTGTATACATTTTCATATAGAAACACATAAGTATATAAAATGTTTCATACATATATAAGTAGGTATATCTATACATATGTCTATTAAGATATAGCATACTAGTGAGCATTTTTCTAAATATCTCTTTATAAAAATATACAAACATAAAATATGAATTGTATAAATACATATAATTTTGTCTAGACATCTCTTCTTAGAAATATATAAAGATATACATATAAAAATGATATTTTACATTAAAGGGATTCTTTCACTTTATATATTTGTTACTTATTTTTTTTAATCAACAGTATGTACTTAGTATATTTTCTCTTTTTTTCTTTTTTGAGACAGAGTTTCACTCTTGTTGCCCAGGCTGAAGTGCAATGGCGTGATCTCGCCTCACCGCAACCTCTGCCTCCCACGTTCAAGCAATTCCCCTGCCTCCCTAGTAGCTGGGATTATAGGCATGTGCCACCATGCCCGGCTAATTTTGTATTTTTAGTAGAGATGGGGTTTCTCCAACTTGGTCAGGCTGGTCTCAAACTCTCAACCTCAGGTGACCCACCTGCCTCGGCTTCCCAAAGTGCTGGGATTACAGGCGTGAGCCACTGTGCCCAGCCTGTACTTGGTATATTTTCAAGTCAGTAACATGATTTATGCAACATAACTTTTAAAGCTTTTTCTGTACCCCAACAGATTTACTTGCCCAGAATTTCTGAGGGACCTGGAGTTGGTTTTAACCTTTTTCTTTTCTTTTCTTTCTTGAGACAGAGTCTCACTCTGTCACCCAGGCTGGAGTACAGTTGCGTGATTTCAGCTCACTGCAATCTCCACCTCCCAGATTCAAGCAATTCTCTGTCTCAGCCTCCCGAGTAGCTGGGATTACAGGTGCCCGCCACCATGCCTGGCTAATTTTTGTATTTTTAGTAGAGATGGGGTTTCACCATCTTGGCCAGGGTGGTCTTGAACTCCTGACCTCATTATCCACCCACCTCAACCTCCCAAAGTGCTGAGATTACAGGTGTGAGCCACCATGCCTGGCCAGTTTTAACCTCTTTAAGTATCCTTACTAAGAAACAGATCAGTAGTAGCACCTATCTCATAGGTTTTATTTTTTTGGTAAATATTAGGTGATTTATAGAAAGCTCCTAATATTTACACCCCAAACTTTTCACTAAAAAATTGTTAGCCTGCAGTTTTTTAAAGGAATTAATGACAACACAGTAGTCTTCCAGATTCATTGTTTTGTTGCCATTTCTATTTTTACAGATTTGAAATTCCAGCTACCAATATCTACATGGGATATTTCAAATCTCATGCCTAGTAATATAGTTAGAAAATAGAAAGTATTGACACTGGTACTAACTGTAAAATACAATGTAATTGAAATTAAGAACTTTGGTTAAAATGAGAGACACCTGATATGGTTTGGATGTTTATCCCCTCCAAATCTCATGTTGAAATGTGATCTCTAGTGTTGGAGGTGGGACCTAGTGGGAGGTGTTTAGGTCATGGGGGCAGATCCTTCATGAACAGCCTGGTGTCTTCTCTGCTGTAATGAGTGAGTTCTCACTGTATTAATTCACATGAAAGCTGGTTTTTTAGAAGAGCCTGGCATCTCCCTCTTGCTCCCTCTCTCATCATGTGACATGACTGCTCCTCATTTGCCTTTGACCATGATTGAAAGCTTCTTGAGGCCTCACCAGAAGCTGAGCAGATGCTGGTGCCACGCTCATACAGCCTGCAGGACTGTGAGCAAAATAAATCTCTTTTATTTATAAATTACTCAGCCTCAGGTACCTTTTTCTAGCAATACAAAATGGACTAATACAACACACAACTTGGACTACAAGATAAGAAGATGAGGAAATTCTTGGTTCATGCAACTATAAATTCTCCATTTCCTCCCCTTCTTTCCTCTTTGCTGTCTTCATTCTCAGGGAGAATGGAAAGATGGTTACAAACAATTCCAAGTTTAGATTATCCTGACAGGTAACCATCCCAGTGAAGAGGATCCAGTGTAATTATGGATTATGTATAATCAAAAGAATATGTCTAGTTAGCTTAATTGAAGTCTTTCGTCAACATCCTAGAAAGGTGTATGTGAGCACTCACTGGCAAAAGGACAGCCTAACTTAAACCATGTGACTGACCTAAGAATGGGGGAGGGGTGGTTTTCCAAAGAGAGTGGGCAGACAGAAACCTGCTCACTTCATAGAGTCTACCCAAGGCTAATAGACTTCAAAACTGACTGATTCATCATGAGAACTTGCTGTTTGTGTATATTATCAAAATAAAGACCCAATAAAATAGGTAAAAGTTATATAGCATTTGTCAATATGTCAGATAGCATTCTAAGAGTTTACTTATAGTAACCCATTTAATCTTTCCAACAACAAGAGGTAAATTTTCATTTTTCAGATGAGAAAATTAAGGCACAAATACATTAAGTAAAGTGGCAAAACTAGGATTTGAATCCAGGAGTCTGGCTCTAGAATTCGTGCCTTTAACCATTATGCCATTTATTATTCCTTCTCTGAGGTTGAGAGGAAACATTAAGATGAAGTAATGAAAGGTGAAATTTAGCTTATCTGATTAACAGCTGTGCTGGTTATCTGCAGTTGCCACTCCAGATAGTGGTCTCCACTTACTAGCCCTCTCTGTCTTGGGTTCTCCCACTGCTCCCTCCCATCGCTACTGCAAGCATGGAAGTAATATCTTCTTAACTGTACTAAACTCAAAGTGTTTCACTATCCCTTGTTGATGCTCCTAATTTTGTCTCAAAGCTTTGTAGAGTCCTTCTATTAAGTTCATCAATAGTAAGCATGGTGGTGCCATCTCTTTCTTGCTTATTTCCAGGCTGATACAATAGACACAATTCTGTTATTAGTTATTTGAATTTGAAAGAGGATATCCATCACAGAGCTCAAAAATAGCTTTTCTCCTTGAATGGAAAGATATATCATTTTTATACACAATGGGAAAAAGCTAATTTTACAAATCTAAAGCAGAAGCCTTTTACAAGAATCATCTCACTATTTTTGGATGGGCTTTTTGGGGTTAACAAACATTTTTTTTTCAATATACAGCCCTCCCTTTGATGGAGTTGTCACGTTTACAAATTAATTTAAATTATATTAACCATAGCATACCTAGACTTCTGACACTAATATTTTAATGGTCATATAAAGGAATTACATTGATTCTTCTAAATTTTGTGATTTGGCAAACTACAATGGACAAAGACATTGTCTAAGCCTAATTTGAGGAACTTACTTAAAGCAGTTGGTCATAAACAATTATCAGGTTATATAGCAGAGAGAGCTAACTACCCAGCAAATATTTGTGCTGCCCTTCCACATGGTTATTGGTTATCGAAGGTAGTTATTGAAGGCATCTTCCTGACCAGAGACTACATTTTCTTTTCAGCCCTCTGACATGTGAGTGGAGTCATATGACTGAGTGGGGTTGTACCTTAGCCTACATATTCCACACATGATACCTATTACATAAATGAAAGAATTTCTAAGTAAAGTACAAGTCTCTTAACAGTAACATAACCACTCCTGAAGATGGGGTATAAATGTGGATTCAGGGCCTGCCATAGATGCTCTTCTAGCACACTGTACTTATCCAACCACAATGCTTATGAGGCTGTATCACAATGGTTTAAGTACTATTTTCCATCCTAGCCTGGAAGGAAAGCAAACACTGTTCTATAGTGTTCATCATTGTTCTTCCCCAAGACCTAACATAACACCTGGTGTATAGGAGTCACTCAATAACTATTGGCTGAATTTTTGAATTACATTTCTATGAATAGAAACACTACAGACATATCTTCCTACCAAGAGAGTGAGAAGTCAGAGGGATATGCACATATCTTTCCCTAAAATGTATCTTTATGGTTTCTCCTCTTAAAAGAGATATAGAAAATAAGGCTATCAGCCCATTGTCCAATATGTTAAGTACTCAACAAACACTTGGAATAAAGGAAGAATGAATGTGCAAATATTCCGGCCTCTATTTTCTAACAGCACTCTCCTTTAACATGTTTTGCAATGGAGATGCAAATTTTACTCACAACACACTCTAGTGTGAAAATAAAATGATGAGGTTGTGTGGCATTGGCCTTTGGCCTTGAAGTTCCCACTTCTTGTGGTCTGGGGCCTCCACTGCTCTCCTCATCCTCTCAGCACTTTTGCATCTATTCTACTGGAATAAAAAGGCATTTCTCAATCCCAGGCATTTCATTTGCAGGCCATAGGGAGCCAAGAGTATAGCCTCAGGCTCATATATTTAGTCTCTCTCCTCCTCAAATCCACACTCTCCCTCCATTAATGTTGGATGTGGCACTGAGCCAAGTGCATCAATTCTCCTGTAGGCCTGCAGCCTCCCTCAGGCTGTGCCTAGGAAAGCGTAGCATGATTTCCAGCATTCTTGATTTTCCGATATGTATTTGAAGTTTCTGCCACATCAAACTCATTCAAAGCTGGACCTGTGAAAGAGAAAATGCTGACATGAGATCTGTCCTCTTGCCCTCTCACTCCTCTAATGGAAAAGAAAAGCTTTTCTGTCTCACAAGAATATACTGAGTTTTCTCTTTGTGTTTCTTTCTGAGCTTACTTTTCTCCTAGACTCATTTTCGGCACTGTTACAGTAGGCAGCTAGTTAGACACAAACAGGGCAGGAGAGGGCTCCCCGCAACCCCCAACCCCCAACCAGGAATGTCAGGAAACCATCAGGTGATGGTCTGGTGGTTGTTAACTGTTTCTCTAAAAGAATAATAGGTAGCAGCCAGCACCAGGGAAAGGCAGGCTCCCAATACATAGGAAAAGCCTGAAACTGGTGATCAGTAGCTTCCCGATAAGATCTGAGGAGTTGGGTGAGTGGGCTCACACAGGCACACTAAGAGGAAAAATGGCAGAGGTTAAGTGGTATATGATGCCTTAGGGATATTTGACTGGTAAGGGAAGAACACCTCAGGTGAGCATGCATACGACTCTAGTAAACACACTTTGCATGCTCCCCTCCCAAGTGCTGGCAGGCCCACTTGCACTTATGGACAGCCCTTCCCTTGGGGGAAGAATCAGGGGAGAAGGGATGCAAGACCCTGGAAGTATGCCAGCATATAAAACCCCAACTCAATAGGTCCAACTGTTCACTTGATCTCTCAAGTCACCTGCTTGGTCCTCTTCCAAGTATACTTTCATTTCTTTTGTTCCTGCTCTAAAAATTTTTAATAAACTTTCACTCCTGCTCTAAAACTTGCCTCAGTCTCTCCTTCTGCCTTCTGCCTCCTCTAATGAATTTTAGGAGCCAAGAATTGAGGTGTCTGTAAACCCTTGTGTATTCACCACCACTAACATACTTTGGTGCCCTGTTTCAGATATGTTCCAACACTAACAGCACCATTGCTCGGGAGAATTTTGAAAAACCAAGGTGGGCCGGGCACGGTGGCTCACGCCTGTAATCCCAACACTTTGGGAGGCTGAGGCAGGTGGATAACGAGGTCAGGAGTTCAAGACCAGCCTGGCCAAGATGGTGAAACCCTGTCTCTACTAAAACTACAAAAATTAGCCAGGCGCGGTGGCAGGCACCTGTGATCCCAGCTACTCGGGAGGCTGCGACAGGAGAATTGCTTGAACCCGGGCGGCAGAAGTTGCACTCCAGCCTGGGCGACAGAGTGAGACTTTGTCTCAGAAAAAAAAAAAAAAAGAAAAACCAGGATGGGCTAAAGATTTCTAGATGCACTTTCAATGGAATGCTGGGTCTGTATGCTTGCTTTATACCTTTTGTCTTTGGCTATTTTACAACTCTGTACATTGAAGAGGGTAATTTTTCTTGTTTATAGAATTGCAAACGAAGTTTCACCAGTTTGATTTCCACCCTATATGAACAATTATTCCAAACAACACATTTTATTGTTCCTCCAAGATATAAGTTTTACATCTATGAGCAAATGCATTTCAGTATCCCTGATTACCTTTAATATTTTCAGTTTATCCTTTGAACATCTTACTGTTTATCTAACAAATTAGTAAGTTAAAGGAGCTAATAAGTGAAACTTTTGACATGTGTGTACTTAGTATCTGTAAAATAATCATGATTTTATCTTTGTATTTTAACTTCATCACTCACCTTTTGTCACATAAGTCAGCAACCTCTGTATTTCTATTCCTCAACAAGCCAAATTCAGTGAATCACCAAAGTCAAACAACTCTGCATTTACAGCACCTTGTGTCCTCTCTATTCCTCATAATCAATGCCATTTTGTTAATTCTAGCATTTATTTTCTCGATTTAGTTATGTATATCTCCCAAATTCAATATTTCTCCTAAAAATCTAAATTTCTAGACCAAAGCATCCTATGGTACCCCATAAATACAGATGATTATTTGTCAATTAATTTTTAATTAAATTTCTGACAACCATTGGGGTGATCAATTTAATATGCAAATTAGATTCAGCTACACCTCTGCTTAAAACGTCATGGTTTCCCCATTTTTCCAAGATAAGTTAGGTTCCCAGGAAAGGATCAAAAAGCTTTTCCTCATCAGCTTTCTGCCTCCCTCCAGAGATTTTTCTCTCCCTCCAGAGATTTGTCTCTCCTGAGATCAGCAAGACTGAATTATTTTCATTTCCCTGGAAACAAACCCCTACACTTCCTTCAGTGTGACTTTATTTATATTTTTAATTATTTATTTTTATTTCAATAGGTTTTTGGGGAACAGGTGGTGTTTGGTCACATGAATAAGTTCTTTAGTGGTGATTTCTGAGATTTAGGTGCACCCATCACACCTGAGCAGTGTACACTGTACCCAATGTGTAGTCCTTTATCCCTCATTCTGCCTCCCACCCTTTCCCCCACGTCACCAAACTCCATTGTATTGTTCTTATGCCTTTGCATCTTCATAGCTAAGCTCACACTTATGAGTGAGAATACACAATGTTTGGTTTTCCGTTCCTGAGTTAATTCACTTAGAATAATGGTCTCTGATTCAATCCACATTGCTGCAAATGCCATTATTTCATTCCTTTGTATGGCTGAGTAATACTCCATAAGGTGTATATCAACAATTTTTTTATCCACTCATTGACTGATGGGCATTTGGGCTGGTTCCATATTTTTGCAACTGTGAATTGTGCTGCTATAAACATGCATGTGCAAGTATCTTTTCTATATAATGGCTTCTTTTCCTCGGTATAAATACCCAGGAGAGGGATTGCTAGATCAAATAGTAGTTCTACTTTTAGTTCTTTAAGGAATCTCCACATTGTTGTCCATAATGGTTGTACTAGTTTACATTCCCACTAACAGTGTAAAAGTGTTCCCTTTTCACAACATCCCCACCCACAACTATTACTTTTTGATTTTTTGATTATGGCCATTCTTGCAGGAGTAAGGTGGTATCCCATTATGGTTTTGATTTGCATTTCCCCAATCATTAATGGTGTTAAGCATTTCTTCATATGTTGTCGGTCATTTGTATATCTTCTATTGTGAATTGTCTATTCATGTCATTAGCCCACTTCTTTGGTGAGATTGTTTTTTTTTTCTTGCGGATTTGTTTGAGTTCTTTGTAGATTCTGGAAATTAGTCCTTTGTCAGATGTATAGATTGTGATTCTCTCCCACTCTGGGTTGTCCGTTTACTCTGCTGATTGTTTCTTTTGCTGTGCAGAACCTCTTTAGTTTAATGAAATCCCATCTATATATCTTTGTTTTTGTGGCATTTGCTTTTGGGATCTTGGCCATGAAGTCTTTGCCTAAGCAAATGTCTAGAAGCAAATGTCTGGTGTTATCTTCTAGAACTTATATGGTTTCAGGTCTTAGATTTAAGTCTTTGATCTATCTTGAGTTGATTTTTGTATAGTGAGAGATAAGGATCCAGCTTTATTTTACTACATATGGGTTGCCAATTATCCCTGCACCATTTGCTGAATAAAGTGTCCTTTCACTACTTTATGTTTTTGTTTGCTTTGTTGAAGATCAGTTGACTTTAAGTATTTGGCTTTATTTCTGGGTTCTCTATTCTGTTTCATTGTTCTATATACCTATTTTTATACCAGTACCATGCTGTTTTGATGACTGTGGCCTTATGCGTGGCCTTATAGTATAGTGAATTTTAGGATTGTTTTCTCTAGTTCTGTGAAGAATGATGGTGGTATTTTGATGAGAATTGCATTGAATTTGTAAATTGCTTTTGGCAGCATGACGATTTTCACAATATTGATGCTACCCATCTGTAGGCATGGGATATGTTTCCATTCATTTCTGTCATCTATGATTCCTTTCAGCAGTGTTTCATAGTTTTCTTTATAGAGGTCTTTCACCTCTTTGGTTAGTTATATTCTTAAGTTTTATTGTTTTTTTAAAATTTGTTTGTTGGTTTGTGTTATTTTTTATAAGTCCTGTGAGATTTATGCTTTAAGGAGATTCTATTTTGGTATATTTTGAGGATTTGTTTCAAGATTTGGAGCTCCGTTTAGCAGTTCTTGTAGTGCTGGCTTGGTAGCAGTAAATTCTCCAGCATTTGCATGAAAAAGACTATATATTTCATTTATGAAGCTCAGTTTCACTGGATACACAATTCTTGGCTGATAATTCTTTTGTTTAAGGAGCCTAAAGATAGGACCCCAATTTCTTCTAGCTGTAGGGTTTCTGCTGAGAAATCTGCTGTTAATCTGACAGGTTTTCTTTTATAGGTTACCTGATACTTTTTCTTCACAGTTCTTAAGATTCTTTCCTTTACCTTGACTTCAGATAACCTGATGACTATGTGCCTAGGCACTGATCTTTTTGTGATGAATTTCCTAGGTGTTCTTTGAGCTTCTTGTATTTGAATGTCTAGATCTCTAACAAGGCCAGGGAAGTCTTCCTCAATTATTCCTTCAAATATGTTTTCCAAACTTTTAGATTTCCCTTCTTCCTTGGGAACACCAATTATTCTTAGGTTTGGTCATTTAATATAATCCCAAACTTCTTGGAGGCTTTGTTCATTTTCTTAAAATTCTTTTTTCTTTGTCTTTGTTGGATTAAGTTAATTCTAAAGCCTTGTTTTCAACTTCTGAAGTTCTTTCTTCTACTTGTTTGATTCTATTGCTGAGACTTTCCAGTGGATTTTGCATTTCTCTAAGTGTGTCCTTGATTTCCAGAAGTTGTGATTATTTTTTATTTATGCTATCTATTTCACTGAAGATTTTTCCATTCATATCCTGTTATCTTTTTTAAAAAACATTCTTTACATTGGACTTCAACTTTCTCTGGAGCCTCCTTGACTGGCTTAATAATTGACCTTCTGAATTCTTTTCTGGCAATTCAGAGACTTCATCTTGGTGTGGATCCATTGCTTATGAGCTAGTGTGATCTTCTGGGGGTGTTAAAGAACCTTGTTTTTTCATGTTACCAGAATTGTTTTTCTCATTCCTTCTCATTTGAGTAGACTATGTTTGAGAAAAGATCTGGGGTCAAGAGCTGCTGTTCAGATTCTTTTGTCCCACAGGGGGCTCCCTTGATGTGGTGCACTCCTCTTTCCCCTAGCGATGGGGCTTCCTGAAATCTGAACTGCAGTTATTGTTACTTCTCTTCCGAATCTAGTCACTTCTGAATCTAGTCTCCAGCCTGGTACTGGGGTGTGTCCGCAAAGTGTCCTGTGATGTGATCCATCTTTAGGCCTCTTAGCCATGGATACCAGCGCCTAGTCTGTTAGCGGTAGCAGGGTAGTAAATTGGACTCTGTGAGGGTCTTTGGTTGTATTTTTGTTAAATATACTAATTTTGTTTTGATTGGCCTCCAATCAGGAGGTGGCGCTTTCAAGTGCACATCAGCTGTGGTTGTATAGGGAGGATGTAATCTTGCCCTAGAGGAGGTGGGGGATGGGCCATAGAGCTCCCAGGAGATTATGTCCTTTGTCTTCAGCTACCAGGGCTCCTAGAGAAAGACAGCCAGGTGAGGGCAGAGTTAGGCTTCTGAGCTCAGACTCTCCTTGGGCGGGGCTTGCTGCAGCTGCTGTTGGGGGAAGGGGGTGTGGTTCCCAGCCCAATACAGTATTTTCCCAAAGAGGATTATGGCTGTCTCTGCTGCATCACACAGGTTATCAGGGAAGTGAGGGAATGCCAGCAGCCAGAGGCCTCACCCCATTCCCACACATCTTGCAGCTCAAAAAGCCAGTCTCACTCCCACCGTGCCCCACTGTGCCCTAGCACTGAGTTTATTTCCAGTCAGCTGGTTAGCAGGGCTGAGAACTTGCCCCAAGCTATAAGCCTTCCAGCTGAGAAAGCAAGCCGACTCACAGTTCCTCAGCTGTCCCACGGAGCCCGCAGGGGCAATCCACCTCCTTCAAAGGGTCTGTGGATTCTCTCGGCTTTCCTGGTATGTACCTGTAGTACTTCTTGGAGCAAAAGTTCATGATGTGGGTCTCCACACACTGCTCTTTCCCTCTGAGTGGGAGCTGCAAGTTAGTCCTGTCTCCTATCCACCATTTCCCCCCATCTTTTTTTAATATACATTTCTCTGCCCATCAGTTCTCTTGGGCCCTGAGTTAGGCAGCCAGGCCTTCAAGCCTCCCGCCCAACTGATCAGCTGCCCTCTGCCCTTGCCTCTGCTTCCTGAATATCTATCTTTATTCCCTCTGCCTGTGTCCAGCACAGTCCAGCACTGCCCTGATTCCTCAGTGTTACTTTTACCATATTCTATTGCAGATAACTGTTTTATTTGTCTATGTCTTCCATGAGACTGTAAACTTCAGAAGTCAGTAATCGTGTTCATATTTGCATCACTTTTCTATTGTTGTGTAACAAATGATTGCCCACATTACCAGTTTAAAAAAAATACACATTTATTATCTTAGTTGCTGTGTGTCAGGAGTCCAGGCTTGACTTGATTGGATCCTCTGCTTAGGGTGTCCAGAGGCTGCAATCAAGGTATCTGCTTGCAGCAGATGGTTTGAATCATGGAAAATGCAGAGGCATTTGAACCAGAGCAACTCCATCTTGAATAGAGACTGGGTAAAATAAGGCTGAGACCTGCTGGGCTGCATTCCCAGGAAGTTAGGCATTCTTACTCACAGGATGAGATAGGAGATCAGCAAAAGATACAGGTCAGGAAGACTGCTGATAAAACAGGATGAGGTAAAGAAGGCATCTGAAACCACTGAAGGCAAGATGGCGATAAAAAGTGTTTTCTAGTCATCCTCACTGCTCATTATATGTTAATTATAATGCATTAGCATGCTAAAAGTCACTCCCACCAGCACCATGACAGTTTACAAATGCCATGGCAATGTTAGAAAGTTACCCTATATGGTCTAAAAAGAGGAGAAACTCTCACTTTCAGGAAATCTCCACCCCTTTCCTGGAAAACTCATGCATAATCCATGCCTTGTTTAGCACATAATCAAGAAATAACTGTAAGTATTCCTAGTCGTGCAGCCCATGCTGCTGCTCTGTCTATGGAATAATCATTCTTTTTTTTTTTTTTTTTCAAATTTTGACTCATTTATTGAATTAAAATTATACTACGTATAAAACAGCAATCTATATGCAGTGATTTAATGCATCATAATATATACATTTATCTTTACAAAGTCAGGATGCAAGTTCCAATGATTATGACTATAAAATTTATATTAAACATTTCCATAAGTGACTTCGGAATAATCATCCTTTTATTGCTTTACTTTCTTTAAACTTGCTTTCACTTTACTCTGTGGACTTGACCCAAATTCTTTCTTGTGCAAGGTCCAAGAATGCTTTCGTGAGGTGTGGATTGCGTCCCGTTTCTGGTAACATCTTGACTAGAAAAGGCTCTGCCTCTAAGCTCCCTCAGGTTGTTGACAGAATTCATCTCCTTGCGCTATGGAATTCATGGTAAATTGCTTCTACAAAGCCAGCAAAGGAGAGAAGGGTAAGGGGGTGGGAACGGGGTGAATGATGAGAAATTACTTAATGGGTACAATGTACATTATTTGGGTGATGAATACCCTAGTTCCCAATCTTTTTGGTAGCAGGGACCTGTTTTGTGGAAGACAATTTTTCCACGGACTTGGGGGTAGGGGATGGTTTTGGGATGAAACTGTTCCACCTCAGGTCATCAGGCCATTAGTTAGATTCTCATAAGGAGTGTGCAACCTGGATTCCTTGCATGTGCAGTTCGCTATAGGGTTCGCTCTCCTATGAGAATCGAATGCCCCAGCTGATCTGACAGGAAGCGGAGCTCAGGCAGTAATGCTTGTGCTCACCTCCTGCTGTGCAGCCTGGTTCCTAACAGGCCACAGACCAGTATCTGTCTGTGGCCCAGGGGTTGGGGACTCTTGCCCTAAAGCCGTGATTTGATCAGTATACATTCTCTTCATGTAAAAAAATTGCACTTGTACCCCCAAATTTTTACAAATAAACAAAATTTTAAAAAGAGAGAGAACCTCTAGATATTTATTAAAAAAGCTAGCATGACTGAGTTTTATATAACACAATTAACAAAATCACAGTGTGACAACCTATCACTATATTCTATTGGGGAGAAGCAAGTCTTCCAATGGTACTTAGTCTTTCAGGCCAGCTCTTGGTTGAAGATTATGCAAAAGAATTTTTGTTTATTGTTCCCAGGCATTTTCCTTCATTATTTTCTCTGGGGACTATTTATTACTCAGCACATAGCTAACAGTCTCTTTGGGTCTAATCAAAGCCCCTTCCTTATAAGGCATGCACACATGCTCACGTGAGTCTGTGTATGTCTTTTGTGTGTGTGGTCTGTGTATGTGTGTGTGGTGTTTGTATTATGTGTGCGTGTACATGTGTGTTGCATGCATGCGTGTGTACATATACATGTGTGCATTTGTGCTCATGTGTATGTGTGGGGTGTGTGTGCAAGTGTGTTGTATGTTCTGTGTGTTTCAATTTAGCAGCTGGCCAGCATTACTAGCTGCACCTCCTACGTTTTCAGCTCCAATCTGTCATTCCAATGGTTTGATTTGTGGGAAAGAAAAAGGTCTAGCTACCCACTTTCTTATTCACCTCAGCTGTCAGCCAGTCTGTGGCATGCCAAATGGAGTTCACGTGTATTCTCACAGCCTTCCCACATTCCAGGAACTGGCTGTTTCAAAGGAAGTGTTTATGATATATTACCTGAGGTTATGCAAACATTTTTGGGCATCTTACAAGGTACAGTTTCCACTCTCAGCTACCTGCCTCAGTCTGTCTGTGTTGGAAAACTTTTTTTCATGGGTTATAATTGAGTTCAATTATTAGGGCAGCACACGGCTGCCTTTACTCTACTTTAACTGGGAGTAATGTGAAGGAGTTTTCCAAACACATTGCTATCCTTATTTATATGCAGTGGGCCTCGCTAGGTCTCACACAGCCTTTTCAAGGTCTGATCATTATCCTTTAGCCACATTTTTACTCCCCCTAACAGATGCTAGCTCCAGACATACAGAATTTATTTTAATTTATATATTTATATTCCACTTTAATTTTAATATATATTTAAATATAGAACCACTTACCGATGCCTGAATGTGTGATGATCTTCCTGTATCATTTCCTATGTACATGCTTCTGCTTAAAACATATTTCTCCTGCCCTTTTAAACTGATTACTTCAAGACTCAAGTGGTATTGTCTCTGGAAATTCTTTTATTACACCCCCTCAACTTAGGTTAATCTGCCTTAAAATAATATTCTTTTAAGATAACTATTAGTTTATGGATTTGTGTTCCCTAATAGTGAGCTCCTTGAGGAAGGTAATTTGTCTAGTATGCTTTGCATCAGCAGAGTCTAGGATACTGCCTGACCATAAGATGCTCTTAGTAAAAGTCAATTGAACTATTATGTTCATTAAAGACACAAAAATAATGTTTCACAGTGCAAACCCTGTTTTTTATGGAATGCTACCAGATACCTCACTCTAGATTGACATCGGATTATTGAAATTAGTGCCAAGACCAGCTCGGTCATGGACACCCTAACTCAGCAGCACTATAGGAATTAAAGACACACACACACACAAAAATATCACGTGTGGAGTGGGAAATCAGGGGTCTCACAGCCTTCAGAGCTGAGA